>NC_000004.12:91042593-91345623 GCF_000001405.40 Homo sapiens
AATCTTCCATCTAAAATCTGCTTTTTTCTTCTGTGTTGCTACGTTAGTAAATGTTCCCATTTTCTAACTAGTTGTTCTGCAAGAAACAGGATTCTCAGGAATTTTTTGTTGATAATACAACTTTTTAAAATTTTTATCACCAATAGAAGAATGAATTTCCAGCAGTCAGGAATCTAACACATTACAGGGGGGAAAAAGTACGTGAAAAGTGGTAGGGGGAAATTAACAAATGATCTTGAAAAATCTATGGCGGCTAGCAAAGTATTCTTGAAAACAAAGATCTCTGCATTCCGGTATTTTAGGGATCCTCAAAAACAAAATGAAAACCAAACCATCTGGTTTTGCCCAATCATCAGAAAGCAAAATAATCTTGCCTACATTCAGCCACCCCCATAATATTATACAGAGCTCTCAAGTAGCTTTCTGTGGCATAATCATTAAATGTGTTTTGGAGTATCATCCACTATTTGAGATCAGAAAGCAACATGAAAACAAAAGCCCAAAGAAATAACTTTAAAAACACCAAAACGAACAAAGAGAAAAAAACAAAGAAAATAAAAATAATAACTTAAAAACAACTTTTAGTTAGTATTTATCTAATTACAGTCCTGATGATAAGGCATTCACTAAAAAAAGAAATGTTATTATGAAAATAATCATAGAAAAATAAAAAATATCTTAAAAATCAATAATAAAACTCCCCAAATTATTCTTTAGAAGGTTGAAAGTGAAAAACTCTCCTCCTAGAAAGAACAAAAGAGAAAGAAGCAATTAGAGATAATACAAATTAAGCAGAATATAATCCAGCAGGGTCCATTTCTTATCCCTAGAATTGACAGTGTTCAGATTGATAGGCCCAACCAAATGCACAGTCCACATACAAATATATAATTTTAAATTTGCAGAAAGTAAAACATATAGAGCGTCCATAAGAGGGAAAAATTATTCACCTGAAAAAAACAAGGATAACGCTAACTAGCATCAGCCTTCTTTTTTTTTTTTTTTTTTTTTTTTGAGGCGGAGTCTTGCTGTGTCTCTGGAGGCTGGAGTGCAGTGGTGTGATCTCAGCTCACTGCAACCTCCACTTCCCGGGTTCATGCGATTCTCCTGCCTCAGCCTCCCGAGTAACTGGGATCACAGGCATGTGCCACCATGCCCAGCTAATTTTATTTTTAGTAGAGACGGGGTTTTGCCCTGTTGGCCAGGTTAGTCTCAAACCCCTGACCTCAGGTGATCTGCCCTCCTCAGCTTCCCAAAGTGCTGGGATGACAGTCGTGAGCAACCACGCCTGGCTCAGACTTCTTATGGAAAAGCTGGATTCAAGAAGACAGTGGACAAGATGGTTAAAGTTCTGGGGAAATATTATAACTAATCTAGAATTCTATACCCATGTAAACTATCAATGTGTGAGTCAAATAAAGACTTTATACATACAAAGACCCAGGTGTTTACCTCCAACACATGTTTACTAAAGAAACCACTAGTGAAATGAAGGATAAAACAAGGAAAAAGTGTGTGGGGTCTGGGCAAAAATGAAACTATTTGGTTATGCAATTCTATCTAAGGTAAAATCCCAGCACTTGCCTTAAAAACCATCTAATTCATAATGGAGGCAGAGACTTCTGGAAAGGAGGACTCCGGGAAAGAAACATGAATGATAGAATTGCTACAATTCAAAGATATACAGAGAAAATAGGTGAAAGCATTTGAAATCTACTTTAGAAATATTATTCTTTGAATAGCATAGTAGTCATGACAGTGCCTACAGAGGAGGAAATATAATCCTACAGATTTTTGGCTTTGCAGCGCACAAAATGTTCATAATTACACTTATCCAACTTTTATAATTCATGTATAGACAAATCAATAAAGACTTAACTATGATTTATCTTGACCTACATGATCCTGCAGTTTCTAGCCTTCCCTTCATCCAGCCTCATTTTGTGCAGACTGCTCCACTATCCCAATACATTTTAATTCAGGTTGGTCTGTCAATTTCTCATACACATCCATTTCATCCACATCAGTTTCTCATATCCTCCATCTCAGGGCCTTTTACACAAGTTTTTCTATTTGCCTGGAATTACTTTACCTCATCTCCCAACCTACTCCCAATCCCTGTCAGATTTTTCAGATAAACCTGCCCTACTTTACCTCACCAGGTTAGATCCACCTGTACATCTCATCAAAGCACCTGAGACATAATAAGTAATCAAGAAGTCTTTGTTCATCATATGAATAAGTGCTATTTTTCTTGCATATAATTCTCCCTGTCCGAAATGCTTGATATTTCTTTATTAAAGAGTTCAACATTTAATTTATAAACTTGCCTATGTGTCTTGTCTGTTTTGTAATCTTTAGTATCTTGCTCAGAAAAGAACTTATTGGCTCTACCTCTTGATCTGTAGCATGTATTATATTACTCTTTATTGGACATGCCTAGGTTGTAGGCAGGGGAGACAGAGGGTTGTATCTTATACATATAAACCTAGAACAGTGCCCTATAGCTAGAAAATAACCAGCTCTAGTTTTTGGTAAAATACCTATGTGGGTATTCACACTCATCTTGAAATTATTTTACCACTTGTAAATGCAGCAGTCACTGAGCCAGATCCTTTTTAACTTCTAAGTCTGTCAAGTAAAATTCTTGAATAAATTTTAAAAATTTAGTTGTTAAAATAGATTTATTAATATGTGAAAATGTTCTCTTGATTTAATGTTATATACTTTATGAAATAAATAAAAATTCCTTTGTGTTTTATGTAATCTCAAGTGTCTTAGAAAAGATTTGGCATATTTTTGTAGATTTTATGCATTTTCACAATTAGGTTTCTGTTTTTACAATAGAGATATTGCCTGCATACACAATTCTTCATTATCCCTTAACAATAACTAGTGTTTATTCATATAAAATATCAAATTAAAACTTCATTATTCTGCAGACATGGAGCACCTGGAAAAAAATCTGCATGACATAAAAATAAAAACAGATAAAACATTATTATTATGGAAATATTTGGTGTATCTCTATTCCATAATCCTCCATAGTATCTACAATTATAATGAGATTCTTTGATAGATATAATTCTTTTTAAAACTCCTATAAAGTAGCTTTTAATATATTGGGTCTTTTCAATTTGTTTTCATTATATAGTTAGACAAGATAAAAATAATGCAAAATCTTGGGGTATAATTTTCACATGCATCCGTGTGAAGAGACCACCAAACAGGCTTTGTGTGAGCAATAAAGCTTTTTAATCACCTGGGTGCAGGTGGGCTGAGTCAGAAAAGAGAGTCAGCAAAGGGAGATAGGGGTGGGGCTGTTTTACAGGATTTGGGTAGATAATGGAAAATTACAGTCAAAGGGGGTTCTCTGGCCGGCAGGGGCAGGGGTCACAAGGTGCTCAATGGGGGAGCTTCTGAGCCAGGAGAAGGAATTTCACAAGGTAATGTCATCAGTTAAGGCAGGAACCGGCCATTTTCACTTATTTTGTGATTCTTCACTTGCTTCAGGCCATCTGGATGTATATGTGCAGGCTTGGGCTCAGAGGCCTGACAATAATAAAAACTGACACTTGCAAATGGATGAGAAGTCTAGCTAAAATTTTTTCAATAACTGTTTGATTATGTTTAATTACAATTCAAACCTAATGTTGTCATCCTTTAATATTCAGCTACTATAGTCTATAATTAAGATGGAGGTCTTCTAAGTGTAACAATTAATTTTTCTATGTATGTATAGTTTTTCATTTTTAGAAAATTCTTACACTTTTCTATGGCTTCATAATACTAAGAGCTTTCTTTTATTTTTAGTAATTATCAGAAGTTAAATTGAAAAATTTTAAGTTTTAATCATTCAAATTGAACTACTTTCTGTTTTGGAGTTTCTTGAAACACCATTTACTTTCTTTTTTATTGTTTCTTTACTTAGATGATAAGATTCAAATCTAAGTATTGTGTTCCTGAACTCACACAAGAAAGGTTTCTTTCTCATTCACACTATGGATGAACCAGATCTCTTTCATATTGTAGTTATGACAATGGATATATAGCTTCCAAAGTTGTGTGATACAAGAGGGAGAGGATAATATGTTTTTTGTTGTTGTTGTTGTTGTTGTTGTTTTGTTTTGGGAGCTTTTTTTTTAGATGGAGTCTTGCTCTGTCTCCAGGCTGGAGTGCAGTGGCACGATCTCGGCTCACTACAACCCGCACCTCCCAGGTTCAAGCAATTCCCCTGCCTCAGCCTCCCGAGTAGCTGGGACTACAGATGTAAACAAACATGCCCAGCTAATTTTTTGTATTTTAGTAGAGACAGGCTTTCAGCATGTTGGCCAAGATGGTCTCGATCTCCTGATCATGTGATCTACCCTCCTCAGCCTCCCAAAGTGCTGGGATTACAGGGTGATATGTTTTTAACTGTCAAGGCTAAGAGTTGTTTATATCATTTACATCCTAATTTCCACTGACTAAAACTCAGTTACATTCCCCCCAACCCCCTCGCAACAAAGTGCAAGGAATGCTGGGAAATGGGGAAAAGCAGAGGCTTTAACAATCTTGGGGACCATTAAGAAGTGAGAGTTGCAGTGAGCTGACTTACTTTTCAGTTTTATAATTCTCACAGTTTGATATCCAAAGCATATATATATACACACACACACACATATATATATTTCTCAAAAGCATATGTATAACACATACATATATATTCACCTCAGAATGATTTCCACTTAGCTTCTAGCTCACCATTTTCAATACCTATTTATTTAGATATGTATGTAAAAATAAATAATGTGAAACCCTGAAAAATAATGCTTCCATCTCTCCATCTCTCTACCACAATAAAGAAGCCATATATCTTGACTCAGCTTGATCACCACAACAAAGTTAATGCAAAATTTATGACAAATTACCTATTTTCCCTCCCACTCACTCCTGACTTTCTACCAATTGGATTCCATTTCTGATTACTTGCAATTCTTGGCTCTGGTTTTTGTATGTGATTCTACTGCTGCTCCTTTATAATTAGTATTGTCATTTAGATTTCAGATTACCTCTATGAACTTGAATTTGATTCATTACTGACATTATGGGTGAGATTTCAGTTTTTGATGGAAAGTCACTAGTTCTTATTCTCAGAGGCCATTTTCAGACGTAGCAGGTGTCCAGTGAAAGAGGTATTTAGGCATATTTTGAGGAAGCAACCAAATTCTTTTTAAGCCATATATAAATATTCGCCAGAAAATAAGTTCAAATCCTCAAGAATCTTAAAGTTTCTTAAAGTAATGTATGATTTTTTCTTTTCAATTAATCTAAATCATACTTTTAGCAATAAACATGTATGTGTTAATTTTTATTAATAAATGGTAAGCTCTTATTCTGGTTCTTTGAGTATAAATTTATTGTCGTATAAACTCCTATCTCAAAAAAAGTCCTTACAAGTAAAAATTCTATTATTCACTCACCCCAACTGAAAAATCACTCATATAATACTTTATTAATGATATAATGCCAAATACTGTGTAGCTATTTAAGAGGTTTCATTATATTTCATGAATATTAATTTCCTTCCAAATAATTAAGGTAACTGCCAGAATTACTTAGCAAGATAGATGGCAGTGACTATACTATTTTATGTATGAAATAGACATCATATAAGATTTATATATAGTTATATATACACACATATATTTACACATAAATAAAATATCAATAACAACTAAACAAATTTCCTTCCCTTCATTTTTTTCCTCTGACATTTAAAAATATATTTTTCTTCTTTACTTTTTGTTCCTCAATTTGCTATAATTTTTAAAAAACCCTTCCAATTTAGTGAAAGAGACAGTATTCAATTTTTAAATAATGTGTTTTTGTTTATAAAAGTGTTTCAAAACGGGGACTTCAAATATGGTAATTGCACCTGAAATATGATTTGTATTATCTGATGGTAGAGAATCTATATTCCCATGGACAGGCTACAATAAGAGAGAAGGTTTATAATAAATTTCATACATACAATGTACATTATTTAATAATCTGATATCCTTCTGCAGAGTATGATTATACACACTCCTTCACTCATGATCGGCATATGGCTTCCAGAAACCCTACTCATGATGAAATCTTTCTGTGTTTCTACAATTAACTGGCAGTTCAAAATAAAATCATCTGTGAAATAAGCTTACATTGGTAGAGAAGCAAATTTTCATAGTTATCCATTCCAAACTCTCTGAATGAATCTCAAGTACACACTGCATTACAGTCATTGAAAGATCAAATAATGGGCTTCCTTATGATTCTCTGCGAGTTCATCCCATGCTTAATGATCCATTATTGGCATAACAAGGGATTAGATAAAAACTATTAATGATAAGACTCTAATATTAAACTAAAGTCTGGGATACTTAAGGCTTTTAACATACTTACAGGATGATTTTAAAAGACTAACAATTGACCTTAGGTGCACACAACAGTAAAGACATGAACACCATAATTGTTTTTCTTCATATTAACTAGGGGTGACTGTAATTAATATTTATCCATTTAATAAACTTTTAAATGAGAAGGCCAACAAAATAAGCAATGAAGATATGTTTTGTTTATTCTAGGGTATTAGTCAGTTTTCACAATTTAACCATGAATTTTTACAATGATAATAAATAGAGGTAGTACAGAAATTGGATCTCGGAATAATAATGCAACTAGTTGTATCAGTTCAATGCACCTATTTGAATCCTTTACATGTCACATGCTTGTGAATTTTTGCCAATGATGAAGCCAAAAATTAATTTACTGAGTGTCACACAACAAATGGTGATATCAGGAATTCAGCCATGGCCATTCAAGTCCAGAGCCTCAATTTAGTTGAAGCTAGTGGAGAAACAGGGCAACAAATATGAAAAGGAAGATTTTTCCATTTTCAAAAACACGTTTGGTGGTCATTCTTATTTTTTGTTTATTATTTTTAACTGAGTGAAGAGCTAAACAAAATAAAGATAATCTCAAAACTGAGGCAGATACATAAACTGGTGAGAGAACAGTAATCAAATTGTGTCATTCTTTGTGGGAAAATCTAAATGTAATCACATCTCTGCACAAATGACCCAAAGAACTCAGGAACTAGCACTGAATCATTGCAATGAGAAATGCCTACTCTGGGTAGATGATTAACAAGTATCAATTTTATGCAATTTTATGAAATACTTCTTTTAAAGAGGCAGCATTACTTCATTTGTAATTTTAGAAAGATTTTCCAATTTTACATTTCTATCATAACTTGATCATCTTTGACGGGTAGAACACAGAATCAGTTATCAGAAGTCTCGGGCACTGGCCCAGGCTACTACTTATTTGTTCCTTGACCCTAATCAGAATAGTTACTTCTCTAAACTTCAATATTTTCCTTCCACTGTGAAATTAGGCTTTTATCTTCTGCTTTCCCTACCTCATGGGGTTGTTTTCACAATCAGTTAGAGTATTTCATATATACACATTTGTGAATAAATATACATATTTAGGATTGTATGTATACAATTGAAAATTAAAAATGCATACACTAGGCCAGGAGTGGTGGCTCCAGCCTGTAGTCTCAGCACTTTGGGAGGCTGAGGTGGGCGGATCACCTGAGGTCAGGAGTTCGAAGTCAGCCTGGCCAATCTGGTGAAACCCTGTCTCTATTAAAAATACAAAAATGAACCGGGCATGGTGGCAGATGCCTGTAATCCCCGCTACTTGGGAGGCTGGGGCAGGAGACTCTCTTGAACCTGAGAGGCACAGGTTGCAGTGAGCAGAGATTGCGCCACTGCACTCCATTCTGGGTGATAGAGTGAGACTCTGTCTCAAAAAAAAAAAAAATGCATAGACTAAACCATTTAATAAGCTTTCTTTGTGTAAATGGTTTAACTCCATTTAAAATAGTACTTACACTGAAATAATGCCTTTCCGTGTCACAAATCCATTGTATTGATAACATAAATTTTGTATTTATGCAAATTAAGATAACAAAGGAACAAAGACCCTGCTTAGCAAAGTCACTCTGCCAATGTAATTAGCTTTGTCTTGTTTCAACTAGTCGAGCAGGAGCAGTTGCTTCCTTTGGAAGGAAGCCTGAAGAACTATCATAGAAATTTAGAATAGAAGACAAAGCATCAGAGGCCAGTCCAGATAACACTGTATCTTGTGATTTATCTTCCCAGTCTCTATTAATTCCCTTTTGGTGTCATAGCACAGATGACTGTTACTCTCTTCTTTCAAGTTTCTTTGCCTAATTTTGAATAGCTATCTCGTTGAAAACAGACAAGAAATTTGGAATACCCTCTGTATTATTCTCATTTTATTCCCTTCTTATAATATTTTCAAACAGGAGGAAAAAGCATGGGGATTTTCCTTGACTGTTGATATTCTCTAGCTCTGTGCTTTTTTGGAATTTCATGCCATATATGAGTATTTTGTGTTGGGTATATATAGAGGGCAACATTCATAAATAGGAAAACTTCAAGATTTAGAGGTGTTACTTCATGTATTTCTGTTCTGAGAATGGAGGTTCTTGGACAAATGTATTTGAAGTACAGAGCACAGAGGGTTAATACATATAATATTCAAATAACTATTACCAAATATCAAGGAGACAATGAGCCCAATGCAAATTATATCAAAAAACAAATCAAACGCATTCAAGTGGAAAATGAATATGAAAAAATATCAGATTTACTAGTTGTCAGAATGTAAGTTATATTTACAATTAATTATTTTATAGCCATTAAATTTAACAGAATAATTTTAAAATCAGTAACATCAATTGCTATTGGGGATGCTTGAAAAATTCATATATTGCTGTTAGAAATGTGAGTTTTCACAAAATTTTAAAAACCATTGTAAATATCTACTAAAATTAAGATAAATAACACTCTTTGACTTTCAAACTGTTCCTAAAAATCCAAAACAACCAATGCTTAAAGATTTATGTACAGTTATTTATTTTCAGCATTGTTTAAAGGGGCAAAACACTAAAAATGGATTGATGGTCCATTAATATTGTCATAGCTGGGTAAATTGTGCTAGGATAAAATGCACCCTAGAAAGGAAGGAAGCAGGCACACAGGCAGTTTGTTTTCTGAGGAATGGACATTTTTCAAAGAGATTCCTGTGCATTCACAAAGTAATATTGCTTGATTCATTCTATATCATTACTATAGAGTGAATATTTTAATTTGTGCATAATATCATAAATGTTGCTCATTGTGTACAAATATTCAAAGGCTAGTTTTTACAAATGTAAGACAGGCAAAACAACTTACTAGCAGTAATATCTTATCATTCATCTTCTGCATTAATATTATAGTTGGATAGTCATACTTAAAAATCTACCACAGTAAGGGCAGTAAGCTCAAAGGAAAAGACATGCAATTGTATTTTCTTCATGCTTTATCTAAAATATTTTTTAAAATTTATATGAGAAAATACAAGATAATTATTTGAAATAATTTTTTGATATAATTGTTATGGAACCCTAGTTTTTTGTGGGAAAAAATGCCTTTTTTACATACATTGAATAGAACAGGAATGTACTCCTTAATTTTAATAATTTATTTGCTATCGTTATATAATCAGTGTCTAGAAAGATTAAAATGGCAGAATTGATTAAAACACTTTTTCCATTCTCTACTCAAGTTATTGGTTTATGTCTACAGGCTGAGTGCCTCGGATATCAGGATAGAAATTTTATACTGAAGGAAAATTACTATATGATAAAATTGAAAAACTTATTAGGTTCATGATCATTGTTTGATAACCTATACTTACTCTTTAATAGTAACTTACATAAAGCTTTTTAAAAATATATAATCTATTGTATTTATTACACTTATGTTTGGACATAAAGCTTTATGTCATCCCGTCTATGATCTGGAAGTTGAAACAAGGTGGTTTCAACTGAACACTTTGCATCCTGTTGTGGATCACTTGAAGACCTAAAATCTGTTTCTTAGATACTTTGATAGCAAAAGATGCAGGAGACTTCTAGAGATAATATTTAAAGGAAAGGAACTTTTGTACTGTTTCACATAAACCTGTATCTCTATCTGTCTGTCTGTCTATGGATAGAGATAGAGATCAATAACTAATATCATACTGTGAAAATAGCTATTAACATTTCTTCCTTTCCATATGAACATATACCATATTTTGATGTAATGGATTTACTCTAAACAGTATTTAAAAACATTATTTTGATAGGTAAGTCTTTAAGCTCCTTAAAAGACCTGAGATTACATCTTTATGTAGGGCATGATTTAAGAAACCTATGAAGCTTAATAAGATAAGAATAGCCTGTTTACATAGCTTAAAGTATTTAAAGTGTAGTAAATTGGTGGTTGAGCTATGTAGGTGTTCTCCTCTGGTAAGGTTGTTTAGCATATATAAACCACTAAAATGATGGAAAATACACCAAGCTGAAGTGGGATCAGGATGACTAAACAAAATAGTTTTCAATTTCTGCAATGAGTTTGGACCAAAATTAGTTTGAGAATAAATTTAGGGAAAAATGTCCTTGAAAAAACCATAATCTTTCTTAAAAGTTTTTCCTAATTGTAAATTTCACTAAGACTTATGAAGTCCCATAGATTATAATGAACAAAATTTCTATATACACCTGCTGTCACTATGAGCAACAACAGGACAACTCTTTCCAGCTTGGATTTGTTTGAACTAGACATACCAAAATGAGTTGGAAACACTTCTCGAACCTTGCCCTCCCATTCTGAAATGAGAATTCCATGCAATGACTGTACAAGTTTTGTCAAGCTATGGTGGAACATGGTATCACAAATACAGATATTCCTTAAACCTAAGTATTCCTGGCTGGTCCTAGGCTGACTTAACCTTTTTTATTTTCTCTCCTAAGTCCCACAGATTTGGTTCATTTAGCTTTCTATTCTTGGCTGCCACCAACTACTTTGCAATCCTATGTTCACAGACCTCCAGAGGATAGAGTATTTTAAACTTCCCTTCATGCTTGGGAATTTATCAATTTATTTACATCTTACAAAATTCAAAAAGCACCCAGTTTCCATCCCCAGATGCAATCACTGTCCGGATTCCTGGGAAACATCCCGAACTATTCTATGGATAAGTGAGCCTAAATGTAAATACATCTTCCCTCTTTCTATGCAATTTTAGCATTACTGTGCATCTTTGTTCACTTAATAGTGTATCTTATAAATTTTTATGCATTTACACATCTTGTACTGTCTTGTTCTTTTTCTGTTCATACTGTAATGTCTTGCTCATTTTAGCTGGATGTGTAGTTTCTTGCAGCATGAATGTGCTACCATGTATTAAGCCAGTCCCCTATGGAGGGACATGTGGATCAGTCCTTTGCCATTATAACATAGTGTTGCAATAAACATCTGTATACATTCATCCTCTTGCATGTGTATGAGTGTACCTTGAATAAATTGCTACAAGTGGTATCACTGGGTTATAGGGGGGCTTGTAGGCTTGATTTTGAGATATATGAGAGGTTGCCCTCAGACTTGTAGGATGAGGGTCCTGGTCTTTGGCCACATCATATACTTGCCAGCTATACTCTGCCACTGCCTCTGGAGCTGTCCGCAATCACAGCTTCACATAACGTGGGTGAGGTGAGGGAGCACCCTAGACCCAGGCCAGGCACCAATTTAATCTCAGACATTGAGCAGAGAAATCAAATCGCTCAAATTCACCTTGAAGGCTCAGGTACTCTTTTGTTAAATCAACATCTTTTCAGCTTAGCACTTCTTCTATTATTTACCTAGTTTTCATTTAGATGGAATCTTTTATTTATTTTTTGTTATATCCTCTTGGTTTATTGAGCCTTTTATTAATATAAGCTGTCCTTCTTTGTCTTTTTTAATCTTTTTTTGATTTAAAGTCTGTTTGTTCAGCTATTAATATAGTCACCCTTGCTCTCTTTTGATTACTATTTGCATGGAATATCTTTTCCATTCTTTCACTTTCAACCTATTTCAACCTATTTGTGTTTTGGGATCTAAAGTGAGTCTCTTTTGGATGGCATGTGTAGGTTGGATATTCCATATCCAAAATGCTTGGGACAAGCAGTATCTCAGATTTGAGATTTTTTTTTGGGGCGGTGGGGTTGGTGGGGGTGGATTTGGAAGTGTTTGCATTGTATTTACTAATCCCTAATCTGAAATTTTGAAATCTAAAATTTGAATGCTCCAATTAGCATTCCCTTTGAACAGCATGTTGGTGCTCAAAGAGTTTCAGATTTTGGAGCATGTCAGATTTAGAATTTTCAAATTTGAGATACTTAACCTGTAGCTGGATTCTGTTTTTCAACCCATTTTGCCAATCTCTGTCATTCTATCTTGGAATTTAATCTATTTACATTTAAAGACTTTACTGATAAAAAAGAACTTACTTCTGTCATATTGTGATTTGTTTTCTATATTTCTTATAGCTTTTGTGTCCTTCCTTTCCTAGCTTACTGTCTTCTTTGTGTTTAGCTGATTTTTTATAATGTTTTTATTCCTTTCTCATCCCTTTTGTGTTTATTTCTAAAGCAAAATTATATAGCTATTTGCTTTATGGGTACCATGGGGATTACACTTAGTATTTTAAACTTATAAAACTCTAATTTAAAATTATGCCATTTTAATTGCAATCATAAACAACTCTGCTCCCTTATATCTATATCTTGATCCTTTTTAGTTGTTGATATCACAAAATAACATTTCAATACATGTGTATCCGAAACATGAACTAATTGTTGTTTATTTTTAATGCATTAGTCTCTTAAATTATGTAGGATAATTTTTCCAGATATAGGATTCTTGGCTTACAGGTCTTGTTTTTCTTTCAGTATTTTAGCTATATCATCCCACTGCTGCATGGCCTCCAAAGTTTCTGATGAGAGATCTCCAAATAAGCTTATTGAGTATCTCTCAGATGTGCCAAATTGTGTCTCTGTTTATGCTTGCCAAATTCCCTGTTTGTCTTTTGATAGTTTGATTATAATGTGTCTCAATGTGTGCTTGAGTTCATCTTACTTGGAGTCCATTGAGCTTCTTGAATGTTTATATTCATGTCTTTCATCTTATTTGGGAAATTTCTGGCCTTTATTTCTTTGAATATTCTCTTTTCCCTTCCCCTCTGCCCCTCTCCCCCTCTCCCCTTCTCCCTCTATACCTCTCTCCCTCCCTCCCTCCCTCCCTTTCTTTTTGGAACTCCTCAGTGCATATGTTGGTCTGCATGATAGTATCCACAGGTCCCTTGTGCTCTGATCACTTTTCTTCAATCTTTTTCCTTCTGTTCCTCATACTCAATAATTTCAATGGTCCTGTCTTCACATTCATGCATCCTTTCTTTTAGCTGCTCATGTCTTTGGATACCTCTTATGCGTTTTTCATTTTTGTCATTGTACTTTTCAGCTCCAGATTTTCTCTTTGGTTACTTTTTAAGTTTTTATCTCCTTATTGATATTTCCATTTTGTTCACATGTAGTTTTCCTGAAATTCTTCATGTCTTTAGTTCTTTGAGCATCTTTAAGGTAATAGTTTTAAAGCAGTTTTTTAGTAGCTCTGTCATCAGCTTCCTCTCAGGGACCATTTTTGTTGGTTTGTTTTTTCCTTTGAGAGGCCATATTTTTACCATTTGTTATATGCTATCTTAGTCCATTTTGTGATTCTATGACAGAATACCTGAGACTGGGTAATTTATAAAAAAAAAGAAGATAATTTATCATAGTTCTGGAGGCTAAGAAATCCAAGAACAAATAGCTGGCATCTGGTGAGGGCTGCTCTCTGCTTCCAAGATGGCACCTTGAACGCTGTGTCTTCCAGAATGGAGGAACCCAATTTCTTTCTTTGCCCTGTCCAAAGAGGGAAGGGCAAAAGAAACCAAATTCCCTCTGGCAAGACCTTTTATAACAGCATCAATCTATTCATGCTCTGTCTGTATGACCTAAACACCTCCTAGAAGGCCCTAATTCCCAACACTGTTGTCTTGGGTATTAAGTTTTCCACACATGAATTTGGGTGGAGACATTCAGATCATAGCATAAGCCTGTTGAATTTTTTGTGAAAACTGTGCGTCTAAATCCAATAATGTGGTAACTCTGGAAATCAGATTAGGCTCCTTCCCTGGGGTTTGATATTTTGTTTTGTTTTATTGTTTTAGGCTGTCTTTGTGCTAAGGATCAGGCTGAGGTGTAAAGTAAAACCTTTTTAGATTTCTTCCAAGCCTGTGTCTTTCTTTGGGCATGTGTAGTGACTTTCTAATTTCTTTCACATATGTAGTTGCTTTTGAATTTCTTTGTCTTTAGTGTGTGGTTCTCAAAAGGAGAAAGACAAAAATGAAGGGTGGAAAAAATGGGCCAGCCCTTTAAATCACCAAGAATTCCTTTCAGCCAGAGGAGGAAAGGATTGCAACTATGAGGGAGAGGTACAACAACAATGGCTGTTCACCTCTGTGTCTGCACCTCCATGATAAGAAGCAGCAATCAGCAAGTAGAACAAAGATCCCTGATATTTGGAGGACAAGGTCCTTATTGCCCACCCTGGCTCCTGTAAGCTGTGTGCAAGCTGCTCCAGGAACACATGCATAGCTGCCTGTCTCAGGAATGGAGGGTGGGTAATGGGTAGCTATTGACTAGTTAAGAGCTGAAATTGATGAAAATTCATGGTTCAAGCTTTCCTCTTGAAGTAAAAGGCTTCAGTACACTCCAGAGTTCCAAAATAGCTACATCAGACAGATTCTCTCAGTGTAATTGTTGTCTGGGTGGGCTGAAAGATTCCTGGTGTTCCCCACCCCTTTGTCGTTCCAGAATCCTCCCTTCCCTGCTATTTTTAAATTGACAGTTTTTATTGCTAGAAGCATGAGAGAAACAGTAAGGAGGCTAACATAATTGGACGATAATTTGGAAGTTATAATGTTATAACCAAAGAAATCATAAGTAGCTGTTTCTAGTCTTCATTGAAAAGTAAATGGAGTTTGAAAAGCTCCTCTTTGCTCAAGGCTGCTCTTTCGTTAATGTTTGTGTAGACAATTGTTGAGTTTTGCTCTAAGAACAAGCTTACCCACTCTCTGGATTGTCATTTCATAGAGCTATTCCAAATTTAAACTTAGGTAGATTCAGGTTGAGAGCCAATATCAGTATGAGAGTGGTTATAAAATGATTATCATTTTATGCAATTAGAATGACTACTTTTTCACCATACATGTGTGTGAATTTGTATGTTTCTCCTTTTTTCCAACTCCTCAAACAGTTCTGTGTGCATAATTTAGCAAGTAAATTGAGTGTCATAAAACCTATATAAGGTTACCATCATTACTCATTAAATAAATGGCCAAGGTAACACTTATGACAAATCTGTCTTATGGTAACATCTGCACCCTCTTTTCTGCTTTATGTCAAAACCCAGATTCCTTTTATTTAACTTTTATTTTTAGTTCAGAGGTACAAGTGCAGGCTTGTTACATAGGTAAACTTGTGTCATGGGGGTTTTACAGATTATTTCATCACCCAGGTGTTAAGCCTAGTGCCTGTTAGTTATTTTTCCTGATCCTCTCCCTTCTCCCACCCTTCACCCTCTGAGAAGCTCCAGTGTGTGTTTTTTGCCTCTATGTGTCCATGTGTTCTCATCATTTGGCTCCCTAAAGAGAATGTGGTACATATTCTCTTTACATGGTGTATTACATACACCATGGAATACTATGCAGCTTTAAAAAACAACAAGATAATGTTCTTTACAAGGACATGGGTAGAGCTAAAGGCCATTATCCTTAGCAAACTAAAACCCATGTTCTTAAAATTTACCTTCTCAATAGACCAACATGTTCCCTCTTGTAATGTTTTCTGCTAAATAGCTACCATGGTCTGGCACTGAGGCAAGTATCTCTTATTTCTAAACAAGTTCTTAATTTAAAAAATAGTAATCATAATGGCATTTGTTTTTGGCCAGATTCCCAATCTTGTATTCTCATTATTATTTACTCAAAAATAACTTTGTCATCTTCATCCTCAGGAGTCTTATCCTCCTACTATTACTCATTCTCTGGTCTTCTAACCACAGAAAGCACATTTTTATGTTATCCTTTCTGGAACCCTCCTTGACTCAAGGCCTTAGAATCCCTAAACTTATATTATTTTATGAAAAACTTTAAAGTTTGATTTTTTTATGTAATAGATAAGAAAACTGAAATTTATAAAGTTTAAGTAACTTGCTCAGGTTTATATAGCTCTTATGGAAGATCTGAGAAATGAGCTCAATTCTATATTTAACCAGTATGAATTATTGTCTTTCCCAAACCCACAAGCATCATTTGCACTGAAGACTTTAGAAGGCTGATCAATCATAATTTGCATCCTACTCTATAATTCTTACAGTCTTTTTCTCCCCAAAGCACAAGATACCAAATCTATTTCCCACGCAAAAATAAGAAATGTTGTACTACTGGTAAAAAGTAATATGCAGTTTTTAGGAAAAAAATCATGACATTTGAAAGAATATTATGTCACTTTAGTATTATTTTCAGACTGCTAAACAACCACCCTTGATAACATACTTTTATTTTGTGTCACATTCTAATTTGGTTTATATTCTGTCTATATTATTCATAGCAGATTCCAAAATCTCCTTAGTTCTTGACTTGCTTGTATATAATAAAGTTTTTTTTTTCTGAACCACATCATTAAGCTGAAATGTGTGTATATATATACGTGTATATATATATACATATAGTGTATATATATGTGTATATATACACGTGTGTATGTGTGTGTGTGCGCATGCACACCTGTGTTGGTTATTTTGTGGTTTGTTTTTGTTGTATTAATAAAAGATTTTATTTGTATGCTTTATTAAGGTTATATATATATATATATATAAGTCTCCAAAATACCAGTCCCGATTTTGAATACTAAATTTCTTTCTATCATGGTATTCTTTGTTTTTAAATCAAACCAGTATAACAAAAATCTAAGCAAGATAGACAAGAGTAAACTTAGAAGTCAATAACTAAAAGGCACACTCACACACAAACACACACACACAAACACCCTAGCGATCTGTAATTACAGCAATCTGTAAGCCCATCAGTCATATTTCCATTTTTTGTGACCATGTGACCACTTCCTAGTTTTTAGAAAAACTAATTCCACCTAGCATGAGTCTGTATTTGGCACATTTTTTTCCAAAAACATTTATGCAAGATATGAGCAGTACTATACTGCAACATGTTTGTATGCTTTGGGGCAATGATTTTCAAAAAGTCCTCTATTTCCAGCCTCTAAAAATCTCCTCATTAGTCTGAGTAGTGACAGGTTCACACAAACCTCTCTATCACTGCTGAAATGCCAACAAAAATAGTAACTGCTTTTTTCTCTAGGATCAATTCTCTTGTCATAGGTCAGGCTGCTGAGCAATCATTCAATCAGTCTTTTAGTCATGGTCCTATAACAAACTCCTTTTCTCCCTGTTGGGATCAGTATCTGATTCAGGAGAATTTACTAACATTTGTTTAGCTCTGAAAAATTTCTCCTTTTATTCAGTATCTTTAAAATTCCTCATGAACTATTGAAATGTTAATAAAAATATTCAACTAGCTATTATTATGATGTTAAAACTGATAGCTTTTCATGTAATTTGGTTGAAAAGCACTAGACATTATCAAGTGTAGCTAAGTAAATAAGAAATAAAACATTTATTAGGAAATACTGATAATTTTTAGCTTTAATAAACAGAAGAATTGGCTAGTCATTTCTGAAATCAGTCATTTTTGAAAACATAATTATATTCTTTACCCAGAGCAAAACTGGGGTAATTTAATGAGCAATATAAATAAGATGCCCCTTAAAAGTAGAAGAATGCATTTGCAAAACTATGAGAATAAAAATGCAATCCTGACATTAGAATTATGTGTCCACTGGGAAATTCTCTGAAGCAAGTTCTTTCAAAATGTCATTGAATAAGTTTTTAACCTCTCCAGCTTTTTCCACTACCTAGCTGTTCTACTTCATTTATTCTTGTCTTTTATATTGCACTTCTTCTTCAGGGTTAGTTAGTTGCTCTATTCTCTAAAGTTAGGTTTTCTGTACCCAAATCTGAATGCTAGGCCCTGTGTCCTCATCCAGATACTTAATGTATTTCCTAGTTCAACATTTTAAGTGGGGTTGATAATGGTGTAAATATTTATAAATGCTAACACCTGGTTCATTTTAACAGGAAAATGTTCAACTTTATTGACCATAGTTTTTCACATATTCTCTCAGGGACTTTGTTTTTCACTGGCCAAGCCATTGTGAAAATGTTTTGAAATGTCCAGTTTTCATAAAAGGTTTAGTGATATTGTTGGTTTTTGATACACGTATGTAAAATTGGTAATTTTTAATTTCTGAATTCTTCTACACAAAAAATAATACCTACATATATTTTTACCATTTTAGTTTGCACAGCCATGATTGTTAGTGAAAATGAACTTAAATCTTAATACTATTTTTATGCTCATACTCCTAAATAATGACTTTAAAATGTATTGCACTTTATAGGTTGCTATACAATGACAAACATCTCATTAGTATCGATAATAAGCTTCTAATATCCTTAGGGATCATATAGTAAATGAAAAAAATATATTGTGATGTTAAATGACTTATGTAATACTGTATCCGTTCAGATACTTTCAAATGCAAATTAAAAAAAAAAAGAACTGAAACTTACATAAATAATAAAGCAATGTATTAGTTAACATGAAAGAGGAGGAAAGCTTCAAACTGACTTAATCCGGTGGCTCCAGCTTTGGGTCCACTTCCCTAAGATTTTTCTCAGCCCTCTCCACCAGGTTTTTTTGTCTAGTCATTAGGCTGGGAAGGAAATAACTACAGGAGATACTGGCTTTAGAGTTCTTTGAAGAAATATCCAGCTAGGAGAAAGGTGTTGTTTTTATTTTATTTTATTTTATTTTTTTCTGTCTAACTTAAGATTAAATTCAAATTTCCCTGAAGCTATAACAAGCTTCATTTCACTCGATTGCCCAAATTTAGTCTCATCCTCAGTTCTGATCTAATTCATGTTGATGGAGGTGTGTCACTGATTGATAGGTTCTCCTACTACTTCTGTTTCATAGCAATTATTATAATTTGAATAATAAGCAAATAAAGTTGTGTGCAGTTAATTTATTTTTTTTTCACCTGTGGTAGGGTAGAGGCTTTGCCTATTTTGTTCCTCAATGTAGCACAGCATAGACAAGTCCCTAGAACATGGTATTTGATAATTATTTAGTTATTAAGTAGAGACAAAGAAAATTCATGTAATTAGTTTCATATGGAAGTTGGTATTTAGGTGGGGTGGTAACTCCAATTCTTTCTGAGGACAGAATTTACTATGGGAAATATTTAAGCTATTATCCTTGCCATCCACAATCTTAGTACATTTCTGCATGCTCTCTCTCTCTCTCTAGTTTTCTACTGTCAGTGTAGCATACATAAATACTACATAAATACACCATATTTACTCATTAAAAAAACAAGGCTGCAAACATTGTCTCATCTTTTTCCCAAATTAACTGCAGTTAGCAGAAAGTTTAGTAACTCTGGGTTAGTTTGCCTTCCTATTAATTATTCCAGCTACTTCAGAGTTTATAGCCCTAAAAGGGATCAGTTTGATTCCCTCACCCATGCAGAGGGAACACTCAAACTCCCCCTTGCATCCCTGCTAATGATTCCTTCTATCCTGCAGCGTGTATCATTCATGCTTAGTTATGCGAGTCCAACAGATCCTTGATGTTACCTTGCTGATCTGGCTCATTGTACAGATTCACTCTGTCCCTGAAGGATGGTGATACCCAACTTCAGGGCTCATTTCAGACAATGGCTTCTCAGACTATGTCTGTTAATATTGCAACTTTTGGTCCTAACCTTCTTTAGTCCCTATACATTTTCCTGAAATGAGGTGGTCCCTGGAGTGCTGATTTGGACTAGCTCGTAGGTACACCACATTAAAACACTTTCCCCTTCTCTTGAGCTTACCCACACCTGCAAGTCAAGCAGATTAATATTGTCATTTTAGTCCTCAAAACACAAATAATTTATGTAAAGCTCTTTTCTGCCATTTGTTTATGGAAGAGCAAACTTAAATTATTCTACTGGTCCTGGACTCTTCATTTGGAGATCTCTATCTTCAATAAAATGATTTTTTTGTCATCTCACTAAAGAAGAGAAAAAGAAAACAATCTACAAATATCATTTCTGGTATAGACTCTGAAATATTACATACCCCTTAATATTGTTGTACCTTGTTTTATTGTTGTTGTTTACATATACTAATGTATGTAGACATGGCAAGGGAATTCTGAAAAGCAAAATTCCTGGAATAACCAATGATTTATTTGAGCACAGTTTAGTACTCTATTAGACTATGTTGAGAGATCAAATAATATTCACATTCATATTATGAAAAATACACTATTTTAAAATGAAAAACAGATACCTAACTATGTCATGAAAAGTTACATTCAAGTAAAATAGAAAATCTTGAAGTTTCGTGTTCCCAACCAAAGACGAGAAGAAGAAAATGCTGTAGTATTAGTCAAGAATTTTGCTTAAACAGTGCCCCTCTACTTACTTTGCTTAATCCTTGCTTAGATAGAGACCAGTTGCAACTTTGCAAGGTTTCATTGCCTCATCTATAAATATGGGATAATAATAATATCTAATCTCTAACTTGACACATAGGATTAAATGAGATAAGGCATGTGATGTAATTAGCAGCTTAGTGCCTGGCTCACGACACACACTTAATAGAGATTATTGCAATTACTATTGTCATCATCATTCTTTAACACATAAATTTGGGATGAAAAATAAAGAGATTCTTGCATGGTAATAATCAAATGTTTTAAGTTGAAGTAGATGCTCCCTAAAGAGGCTTACTGGTGTATTAAAAATATGTTTATGATTTATTTTCTTATTCTTAGGCAGTTGCTATTTATCTTGACTCATTTTCTTATTTGATTTTCCTTATATTCCCCAAAGTGAGGGTGAAGGTTGGTATACTTCTAATTTTGCATGGAGATATAGGAATTTAATAGAACTACACTCCCTGATTCTTCCTTTGGGTTTCTTTAGGCTTAAGCCTAAAATCTACAATTAGAATGGAAATAAATCCTAAGTAAATATAATAACGTTCAGCTATATTTCGCACAATTGAATTTACTTGATCTCAGCATCCTTACAAGAGTGGTGGAAAAGTTTTATTATTCCATTTTACATACTCCGAATTGGTTCTCAATGACATTAAATGATTTCCCTAAGGTCTCATGTCTGGGAAATGTCAGGATAGTAAGTTGATCATAAAATCCTGTAATATTTTCTTTCTACTACATTACCTCACATTATCTTTTGAAACATAACTTAATCTTTTTAAAAATAGTTTTCTTATCTTTTCTTTCACTCTCCCTTCTTTTAACTAGGCAAAACCTTGTTTAAACTATGCCATTGCTGTGAACAAGTAGGAATTGCTGATAGAGGAATTAAATGTTAGAAGATACAGGGAAACATTAATTTTTTCTGTGTAACATTGGGTTATTCAGCTTTTGTGATAATGGTTTCCCAATGACTGGAAGAAGATTGCCAAAAGAAGTAGTAAGACAGAATCTAAGTAGTTTTCTCCCATATCATGAGTCCCAAGAATACCCACATGTTTGCAAAAATCCTGGTGGAGAGGGCCTCTGATAACTCAGAGGCATTGTACTGTCAGCCATGGCTTATTACAGTGAAAGGCTACACAACAAGCTCAGCAAGAGAAAAGACACATCCAGCAAAGTCTGGAGGAATTCATGCACAGCATTCAGAAAACCCTTTCTCTCAGGAGGGGCCACACAGAATGTGTTCTTTCTTCCGGCAATTAAATACAGCAACACTTATGCAGTGTTTCTGCCCAGGAGAGTCTGCTGTTGACTGAGTTCAAGATTTTCCCTGGGGACTGGTCATGCAGGCACTCTCTGCCTATGTGATCAGCCACAATCATAGAAATTCCAGACTCCCAGAAGGAAAGCAGCTGTTTACTATAAATCAGGCTGATACAGCTAATTCAGTGCCTCAGGCAAACAAAACAGCTTTATCAGTGTAGGGAACTTCAAAAGCCACATTGCTGGAAACCAGCCAAGTAACAGCCCTGCAAGCAGGCCCTTCTAAAGAGTAGTTTAAGACCTCCTGTGGTAACTGCTCTATTTTCCAGGGACAATACGTAGGGGACAGAGGAACACAGCAGAATTTTGAAACAGGATATACAATCACAATAAGAGAAGGAGCACCAAGTATCTTCTGTTATCAGTAGAATAATCCTGATATTCTAAACCTAGGTTTTCAATTTTTTTTTTCAGGATTTTGCTTATATTGTAAGTACAGTAAAAAATCAAGATGGTGAAATACAACTCAGGAACACACATGTATTAAGGCAGGTTTGACAGTTCCATCAGTATACTACAAAAAAAAAAGTGCTTTGTAAACCTAAAGCCACAGTGGCCTTAGACCATGTTAAATGCTTTAATACATGTCCAAAGGATTAAGGAAGTATAAGGAAAGAGAATGTGAGTTCTTTTTAGGAAGATTTAAGAAAGCTCCAGGAAGAAGTGGCATTTGAGATCCTTCATCCTTAAAGATTTCAATGACAAAGGTGGTACAGTGATATTCTTGTTATTGGGAACAAATACAGGAAGCTATGAATATAGAAAATATTGGGAAATATTGCGTAATTTGGTGTAATATTGTACAAAACAGTGATGTACATTATTGTATAATTAATATAATGGTAAAAGTTATATTCATATCATACTATTACAATTAATTATTTTTGATATTCGATATATACAAGGTTAGAATTGGGAAATTCATACCAAAGGGATTTGTTCACCTATTTTCTATCAAAAAAAATCCCATTGGATATTAAGCAGCAAATTATTTATACAATGTTGGGAAATAATGTGGTAACACTTGTTTACTTTTTAATGTTCCATATGGATTTAATTTTTGTGTTATTGTCTGTAGAATAAAGGACAATAAAAAAATTACCAAGACTTTATCTGGTTGTTCTGGTATGTTTAAACAAATTCCTTGGGGATTAGTATTTCATTTACTAATAAAAACTTTTCAACTTCAGTGGACAGCTATTAGTTGATACACATACAGGTATAGAAATTATAAATAATTTTTCACCGAATCATACTGAAAAATTTATAGTCATTGTTTTAGAAATCATATTTGAATATGACTTCTTTCAATAATATGACAATTAAAATGTTAGGAAAACACTGATTCAATATGTACTAATTTATTCTAAATGCCAAGTGCTAAGTGTACTTATATCTATAAAAATGAAATTATATGAAGTGTACAATTACTTTATCAAACATTCATCCATTTAATTAAAATTTTCTTTGCGTTTTATACCTAACTTGTAATATTTTGTATATTCCCATCAAGTTTTTCTAATTGCTTTCAATTGGAATGAGATGTGCTTGAGATGGTATTAGAAATAATTAAGAAGTCAGACACAGGGAGATTGCTTTTTCCAGGACATTATTTAGGTAAACTATTTTCAAAAATATCAAACAGTCACCAAAATGGGTCACATTCTATAAATAATAGAATTAAGTTTTGAAACAAAGGTTGCATACTTTCCTTGTTAAAATCCAAGCCATTCTCAGAAAAAGCTAATTATCTTAAGGCTGTGAGTCAACTGTTGCCAAATGGTCGCACAGTTAGCGACAGAGGAGAAATGAAGCACAGAGCAGTAAACCTTGGGGATTCACCTGGCCTCCTTCGCAGCCAAGATTTTTCCTATGGTGTTAGACAACAATTAAAAAATTTGAAATGGAAGGTGACTCAGTAAAGGGCAAACTGAAAAGTGTAACTCTCAATCAGATCATCCATATCACAGTAAAAGAATAACCAGAGAATAGTGAAAAAATAAGGAGAAAGTAACATTTTCCAAAGCCGGTGTGAATAGATAATTATTCTTCTGCGTAACTGGAGAAGTAGAACAAATACTGACATCATATATAATAGGGACCTTTACCAACTAGCTGGGAAGTCTTCAGAAATCATATTCTCTATCTCTAGGTTTCAGTTTTTCACCAATAAAATAAAGTGGAGTGGACTAAATGATTTCTGAGGCTGTTTTTCCATGCTAACATTCTATGTCTTTATATAAAAGGATCTATTTGTAGAATAGTTGAGTGTAAGCAGCAGGAGAAAGACCTTATCTGTTTTGACCCAGCACATAGAATAGGCCCTGTCCCGCTGGGCGTGGTGGCTCACACCTGTAATCCCAGTACTTTGGAAGGCTGAGGCGGGCAGATCACGAGGTCAGGAGATCAAAACCATCCTGGCTAACACGGTGAAACCCTGTGTTTACTAAAAATACAAAAAATTAGCCGGGCATGGTGGCAGGTGCCTGTAGTCCCAGCTATTTGGGAGGCTAAAGCAGGAAATGGCGTGAACCCGGGAGGCGGAGCTTGCAGTGAGCAGAGATCGCGCCACTGCACTACAGCCTGGGCGACAGAGCCAGACAACGTCTCAAAAAGAAAAAAAAAAGAATAGGCCCTGTCCCACAGTCAGCACTCAAAACAACACTTGTTAAATGAGTGAATAAGCCAGAAAATAAAGGCTGGTGGATTGGTAAAATGACTTTTACTGGAAAGACTGTGTATGCTGACACATACACTGGTACAATAAGATGTTTGTCTCATCCTTTTTTTTTTTTCTTTTTTTTTTGCTGAGACAGGCTCTCACTTTGTTGCCCAAGCTGAAGTGCAGTGGTGCCATCATAGCTTACTGCAAGCTTGAAACTCCTGGGTTCAAACAGTCCTCCCTCCTCAGCCTCTTGAGTAGCTAGGACTACAGGCCTGCCCTACCACCCCTGGGTAATTTTTTATTTTTTGCAGAGGCTGAGTCTCACTATGTTGTCTAGGTTGGTCTCAAACTCCTGGGCTCAAGTGATGCTTCCACCTCAGTCTCCCACAGTGCTGGGATTACAGGTATGAGCCACTGCACCCACCCCATCCTTCTTCTTTAAGGTAAATTACACCCTTTGTGATGGTGGAGCAGGTAGATAAAAACGAAGTCCCTAAGGAGCCTCAGTGTTTCTCACAGGTTTCTGTGCTCCTGGTTGGAAAAGCTAAAAAGTGGTTTGAAGTTAGTTATGAATATTAGAGAATACCTTTTGTAATGAGTTATCTGCTATAGAGAGTAACTAGTCCTCTAAGCAGTGGTCAGATTGCTGTTTCATGAGAAACAGTGACTAGCTTTTCCATGTTGAATGAATCCAAGTAATATCATTTAAGTTAATATACAGATTTAATTTCAAAATCTATCTTCTTGACTGGTACATCCTGGCTAACTTGTTAGACATAGCCATGGAATTTATTTAATTAGCTTCTCCTTACTATAACAAATAAATGCTAGTTTGAATGAAAATCTAATGAGAGCCAATTATATATTTAAAGCATCACCTGACTTTTGAAAGATGTTATTACCAGATAGGGAGAACTAAAATATACTCAATTAGTTATAACATTCTCTTCTCAATGTTCATGGATTTCCTAGTAGGATCCAATTCTCAGAAATTCATGATGCAAATGCAGTTAAATTGAAGTAGATATCATAGAGAAATAAAAATGGTCATTTTATTTTCAGTTAGTTCTTTGGGTTTGAGAGGATATTAAGTTACAGTATGAGACACTGATCTGTCAAAATTATGAAACATTGATCTGTGAGATAAAAATGTAAGCCACGGTACATTTTCTGACTTACAGTCTGAGACTGCACATTTATTTTTCTGTTATGTTTTGCTGTTCCTAGAAATTAATAATGACAGAAATAAACACATTTAATAAAGTAAGATTTCCAGCAGTGGATTTTAACACAATCTGATTTATTTGTTTAATATTGAGTCTTCAATAGAGTTTCTCAGATAGTATGTAGTTTTACATTATGAGTACTACATTTAAAAGTGGGAACTTAATATGGATATACTGAAAGCAATGCCAGTTTACAAGATAATAATTATTAAAAATGTAAAGTACCTACAGCGCAGGTGAAATAATGCACGCGTAGACTACCACTGGTTACTTGTTTAATATTTTGGGGTACTCTTAAAAGAATTGAGGGAAATTTTAAAAGAAAAGCATTGAGACTCCAGTTTGATATAGGTAAAGGCCACAACTTTTGTATACTGATACACTTATTTAGTTGAAATCGTTTAGGTAACAATGCTCAAATATTAAAATGGAGACATTTTTAAAATTTTGATTTTTGGCCAGGCATGGTGGCTCATGCCTGTAATCCCAGCACTTTGGGAGGCTGAAGCAGGTGGATCACCTGAGGTCAGGAGTTTGAGACCAGCCTGGCAAAATCCTGTCTTTACAAAAAATACAAAAATTAGCTGGGTGCGGTGGCATGCACCTGTAACCCCAGCTACTAGGGAGGCTGAGGCAGAAGAATCGCTTGAAACTAGGAGGCAGAGGTTGCAGTGAGCTGAGATCGCGCCACTGCACAGACAGAGTGAGACATCATCTCAAAAAAAATAAATAAAAAATAAAAATTTTGATTTTCTAAAAGACAAGAAAATCCTAGAATTTTATAGCCAATAGAGATATTCAAGATTACCTAGTTCAGTTTATTAATTTTCCTGAAAAAGAAATGTAGTCTCAGAGTTTTTGGTGATTTGCCCAAGGTTAGCGAGAGAAAAGAAACAATTTATTCATTTCACTTTTTTTTTTCTGAATGAATTTGAATGGTTAATATTATACTCAATATATTAATGGCATGTTTATGTTAAAAAGGGTAAATAAATATCATTTTATAGTAATTATAGAGATTTATTCATTCAGTTCATTTAATTAATATTAGTTTAGTATCTACTAAGTGCCAGACACTGTTCTAAGTACTGGGGATATAAAGTTTTACCAGATGGACATACTGTCATGGACTTTACGTTCTGGTGAGAAGAATAGTCAGTACACAAAATAATAAATACATTAATATGAAAAATATTTTCCAGTGTTAAATCCTGAGCAGAAACTTAAAATTGAGTGATATGACAATAAGCAAGTTGATGTCTATTTTAGAATCAATGCTCATGAAAGTCCTTTGACACAGGAAATTTAAACTGAGATTTGAAGGGCAAAGGGATAACCCTATGACCTTGGGAAGGTTGTGGGGAGAGATCATTAAAAGAAGGGAACAGCTGGTACAGAATCTCTTGAGTAGAAAAGATTCAGAAACCCATTGAATGCCATTTAGAATTTATTGTATATAATC
This sequence comes from Homo sapiens, assembly GCF_000001405.40. Classification (NCBI taxonomy): domain Eukaryota; kingdom Metazoa; phylum Chordata; class Mammalia; order Primates; family Hominidae; genus Homo; species Homo sapiens. Next base: position 91,069,907 of record NC_000004.12, read on the forward strand.
ATATATAATTTTACCATTTTAAATGTGTTGTTCTCAATTTATAATATAGAGTCAGACTTTCTTAAGTAAACCTTTTTTAATTTTTTTTTTTTTTCCAAGAAATAGTCTTGCTCTGTCACCCAGGCTGGAGTGCAGTGGTGCCATCTCAGCTCACTAGAAGCTCCGCCTCCCGAGTTCATGCCATTCTCCTGCCTCAGCCTCCCAAGTAGCTGGGATTACAGGTGCCCACCACCACACCTGGCTAAATTTTTTGTATTTTTAGTAGAGATGGGGTTTCACCATGTTGACCAGACTGTTTAGAACTCTTAACCTTGTGATCTGCCTGCCTTGGCCTCCCAAAGTGCTGGGATTACAGGCATGAGTTCCCAGGACCTTCTTTAATTTTAAAACATTATGTTAAAACTAAATCATTACTCTTGGTATTGTGCTACTTCTAATCCATCCTCTTTATTTTAGTTGAACTCAGTTTATATTTCTAAACATTGCAAGTTAGTTTAGTTTTCACCCTGAAATAACCATTATCTTGATAGAATGGGGACACTGTCCTGTCAAGAATTGTGCTCTTTGGCAGGGGTCCCTAACCCCCAGGCCACGGACCATGCTTGTCCATGACCTGTTAAGAACCAGGCTGCCCAGCTGGAGATGACCAGTAGGCAAATGAGCATTACTGCCTGACATCTGCCTCCTGTGAGATCAGTGGCTGCATTAGATTCTTATGGGAGCACAAACCCTATTGTGAACTGTGCATGCAAGGGATCTTGGTTGGGCACTCCTTATGAGAATCTAATGCCTGATGATCTGAGGTTGAAAAATTTCATCCCAAAACCATCCTCACCCCCAGCGGTGGAAAAAATGCCTTCCACAAAACCAGTTCCAGGTGCCAAAAAGGTTGGGAACCGCCGCTCTACAAGAGAGTCTGGTATTAACAATTTTAAAAAATAAAGTCTTTGTCACTGATTATTGTTTAGCATTTAATAGAAAAACATGATGGCACACTCTCTGTGGTGTTGTAGATAGTGTGATAAGAAAATGCTGACTCTCTTAAAATTATAGAAGAAATACTAGATTTTTGTTGGCTTAACTTTAATAAGAATAAATAAATTAATATGATCTCCAAAGTGAACACTACTGATATTACTTATGGATCTAAATTAATATAGTACAAATTTGGTAAAACTATTTAGATACATGGATGCTTAGAAAAGTAAATATTCCATTCATTTTGCAAATATTTAAGTACTTATTTAGAACCTAGCATCATGCACCAAGCACTGTTTGAGCAACTGGTATAATTTAGAAACATAAAAACAAAGATCCCTGTCTTTGAGGTACTTTTATTCTAACATGGAAAGATGATAACACACAATAATAATAAATTTATACAGTGTGTTAAAATGTTTTAAGGGTGCCAGAAGTGAAGTAGGCAGAAGATTGTAATATTAAATAGAGTGGTAAAAGTAGTGCTCATTGAGAAGGTGAGATACAAACAAAGACTTGATAAGCCATGGGAGTTGGCTATGCAGATATCTAGGTGAAGAGAGTTCCAGGCAGGATGAACATCTAGTCCAAAGGCCTATGGTGGAAGAATGCTTGGCATGTTAAGAACTATCAAGAGAGTCATAATGTTGCAATGGATTGATGGGTTTGGTGTATAGAGAGATGGGGACAGACATAATAGACAGATTCATATGCAAATAATCATAATCTAGCTATTAATACTCTCTTTTTACCTATTTGAGTGCATTCTCTCTTTTTATGATCTACGGTACAAATATGAAACGTAGCTTACTAGATAGATTGATTCAATAAGCTTAGTATCTCATCAAATAGTTTTTCAAATAGCAAAATAATTGCCTTATGATGTGACATATCACACATTAAGTGCTAGTCCAGTTCTTACATATTTAAATTCACGGTTAGACTGTTTACCACCATGATTGCATGCTAAATCAACATGCCTTTCACTGACAATATTTAGAGTTACTTGTTTTCTGAAAGGGTGTCTTTGACTTCCTATTTAAGGATTAGATTACCAATCAGAATTGTTAGAAATAATACCCCATAAAGTTTATATTGGTGATTAGTCTCATATCTGAACTGGAAAACACCATCACAAACAACCACTCAGGTATGAGCATCAGACATGCTATAAGTAATCTAGTTTCAGGATAAACTCTACTGTATGAAACCTCATAAAATATGATGACCCAAGTCCCTGGAGCAGAAGGAATTTAACTTATGCAATGTACCAAGATGAGAACTGCTAGAAAACTGGGGGGCATGGAAGTGCTAATCTAGTTTAATATTTTAGTTAGCCTTAAGCAACAATAATCACAGACACACTCTATGAAATGTTATTTGTGCCCATACAGTAACATTAATTTTCTTTTAATTTTTGTCTGCCTCAGGAAATATTTCAATTGAATTTCACATTTTTTCCCAAGGAATCAGGGCTTCTGGAATTCAACGTCATTTACTTAACTTTTTTTCCCCACAGTTATTTTCAAATCTAAATGAATTCAAAACCAATCATTTATTATTTTGCATTTACTTCTTCAGTTGGTAAAAATGACATGGTTTAGATTGATCTCTTGAACATTAATATAGTTCTGGAATTAGGCTTACTCATTTAATAGGTTACTCAATCACTGATTTGCTAAACATGTATCCAAATCATGTCAGTTAGTTATCTCAACACACATAAAAATAAAGTATTAGTTACTTTTGGAGGTAGTATGTGTAATAGTTCCAAAAGTAGCTCTGTAATGAGATACTCTGGGCTCAGTATTCAACTCTGCTTTCTTTGATCTGTATATCCTTAGGAAAGTTAATTAACCTCTCCTTCCCTCAATTTTTCTATGGCAAAATGGGGATTAGTAATGGTAACATATTGTAATTGTGAGGTATAAAAAAAGTATATAAAATGATATAAAAATAATCCATGTAACATGTACTGCATAATGCCTGGCACCTAGTCAGACTCAAAATGTAAATATTTCTGTTACATACATATGTGTATATTTAGAAGTATCCTGTGGTATGGTTACAATATTGCTTAAGGTAATAAGTGAGGATTTTCCATTTTTACAAAGACAGAACCTTAAAAGTGAAGCATGGTTAAGTGCCTGAAAATAATGACATATATTCTTTTTTTAAATGGGACGTGAACAACAATTCAAAGCTTCCAGTGAATGGCTTATTACAGTATAGACATTCAAAGATTAATAGGATTAATTTAGAAAGGAGGGAAGAAAAAATATAGTTTGATAAATTTTGACATTTGGCTGTTCTTTGTATTTCAATAGATTTTAGCCCAAATCATGATAAACTCCATAAAATTTTCAAACATGTGCTTTAGAAATCCCTCTGTGACTTAAATTTCAACATAGCCTAGGGGGTGAATATTTTTTCAATAAATGGCTAAAAAAGAGATAAAAGAATTACAAATCTTTAAACTATGTTTATTAACTTAAAAGGAAGACTGGATTTATGTGTAAGAATGAATTAGTGCAGTTTTTAAGTAGGTTAAGTTGCCTTAGGAAATGTTCTGTGTTTCTAAGTCAATTCTGTAAACCTATGACACTCCTCGATATTATCACTTACAAAACGAATCCTAAGTAAGACTAACATTAGAAGTCCATATATGCAACAAAATATTTTTATCAACAATATAATTGGAAATTGAAACTGAATCAAAAATTTACACAACAAACTGATAGAGTAAAATACAGATATGTAAGTTAAAAAAATCAGAAACTACGGAAGCTTAAATAAGGCTGACAATAGGTGTGTAAGCTGTGTTCAAAGTTTTTTGGAATTTTTTAACTTCTTGAGTAGTTTAATTAGTTTCACTGAGAGGCCATACAAAACAGAAAGACACAGAGTAAGAACCTGTAAAAGGACCAATATACCTGTCTTAAAATTAAAACATAATACAGATACTAGATTTTACCACTCTGCAGAGATCATCCATTACAACTCTCTATATCCTCCTCCCGATAATCATCAATTTTTTACCAGGCAAGCAAAGACCCAGAGACTTAAACAATATCCTTATCATCCAACAATGTGTTTCTGTCACTAATATGATGCTGCCATATAATAAATGTGGCAGTGAAAAGCAAGCAGGCCAGAAGTGTTTTACGACTCTTGTCGTTCTTTGGGCCACATGCTGTAGCTGCAACGTGAAACTAACAATAGCAAGAACTAATAAGGGGTTGCATTTTATTTTGTCTAAAGAGATCAGTTCAAAAACAAAACAGAATAACTGGTAGATCATTTTCATTTCAGCCCAATGGGGGAAGAACTATTTTGCAATATAACATGTGATAAGGCTATGGTCAGAATTAAATTAATCCAGGTAAAACACTTGGAATGGTGCTTGGTACATAGAGAACATGCAACAAATATTAGTTATTTTTATAACTGAAATAGTAATGAGTCTTTTATTTAGATAATGCCAATAAGGGCAGCAACATCTTATGCCACTAACATCAGTGCATGTTGCAGTTAACGATGGAGTAGGCACTGTGCTGCGTTTTATAAAGATTCTTTCATTTATACTATAAATTATTTCAATTTTATAGCTGTGGAACCTGGCCCATGAAATGGTTAAGGAATGCTCTAGAAGTTATACAGTTTTTAAGACTATGATTTATGATAGAACTGCTGAAACAATTTGTTTAAACAAAGATAATTCTGGATTAGGGACCCCGTGGCCAGAGTTCAAGTCCCCAAACTGACACTTATAAATTAAGTTCCCTGGCTGCAAGCCTCCTCATCTATAAAATGAAGAGGTTGAGCTACAGTTATCTAAAGTTCCTTCTAGCTCTTTCCTGTGCCTTCACGGCTAAAGCTAAATGTTAAAAAGTCACACAGTTACTTGAAGCCTTTTAAAAATTATTATTTTATTCAGTTAAATCATGGCTACTTTCTACATGTTAAGAAAAACTGTCACAACGAAATCTCTGAAGTTCTAGAAATAAAATATTTATTCCATCTGTCCAATCTATATTTTTTCAATCAGAAAAAATAAATCAACCAAATCTAGGGATATTAGATAGTGATTTCTGCCTTTTTGTTTACAGGGAAGCAGGAGAAATCCTTATGACATGATAGAAGTTTTAGAAGGGTTTCTAATCATTATGAAGGGGTAGATCTCTTCCCTCACCTCCCTGTGTACCTTAGACAAAGTGGGTCTGTATGCCAGCGCAGTTACCAGGGGTGTTCATGCAGTTACTAGAATGCAAGACAAATTTGGTAGGAAGTTCTATTTTTTTTTTTTCCAGTTAATAGCCTTTCTCCCTTCCTGCCGTACTAAACCATCTTAATTTAGCACACTGCAGAACATTTGCTTTAGGGTAATTTTTTTCCTACCTAAAATTTATAACATTTTGGTTTTGTCTCATGTGATTAATTTTGATCAATGCAGAGATTTCATATTCTATAGTGAGAAATATGTATACTGAGGGAAATGAATTTTTTCCAACCACATCCCCCAGAGTATTTTTAAATATGCTTTGCTCAAGACATGCTAGGCAAATATTACATTTATATATGGTTGAAGAATAACAAAGTGGATTTTAAATCAATTAAAATTCTGTGAATCTTATATTAATATTAAGAATCAACCCATATGCATACATATATATGAATAATTTGACTGTTCGTGTGTACATCAAGTCTTTTGAAGAGTCAGACAAATTGTCTCAGTGAATAGAACTAAAACATATTCTTCTTTCTGAAGTATTTTAATATGTGTTTTAGTGGAAATGATATAAAAGTATAAAAATGCAAAGGATTTTTTTGTTGTGTGGTATATATAAGTGAACACAAATAAAGGTGTTTGGGTTATTTTAGATTAATACTTATTTTGAAAGTATCCCTTGTGCTAAATGTTATTTCTTAGTTAGTTGGGGTGATATTACAGTATGATTTTTTTTAAAGCAAATCAACCAAATTACTGTCAATAAGAGTCAGTAAAAATCAAGATTGTGCATGTTTCCTAGCATAGGTTGTAAGTCACAGTTGATACTTCCCTAACAGTTTTCCACATTCAAGCCACCTGACCTTCCAACTTGAAGACAGTCTTGCTCTAGTACTCAAGAGTAATTTCTGCTATCAGTTAAGGCTTGGCATCTCCCAGATCATAGAATTAATGAATCTTACTATACCTTACTTCTCCTTTGAAACACAATCTTGTCTAAAGCCCTAGTATCATATGGAAAATCCTCTTAAGCCATTATTTTTTGCCCACACAGCTCTCAAATTCTTGTCATCAGATATACTGCTTCAGGTTTTCAACCTGAATCTTGGTCTGTCAATAATCTAGTGCCTAAATTATACCAAGCTTTTTACATTGTTTATACAGTACCTCTTATCTACTCTGGCAAGCTTGCCTTTCATTCCATATTCCAACCATGCAGTTTTTTTTTTTTCCACTAAATGCTTATTCCCAGCTCCTTTTAATCACTGTGTTGCTTTGAAGAATCATGATGATTCATACATGAGTTTCATGTTACAATAAATTTGTATTGAAAAGTATGTAATACATTAAACATTTTGACTGATGGAAGTTTAAAGCAATTTGACTAAGGATGAAAGGATGAACTTGGTATTGAGGCTCTTAAAATATTGGTTTAAGTTTTATTTTATGCTTACTAGATCTGGAACTTAGTCACATAATTTAAATTTTGTAAACTTTAATTTCCTCCTTTGAAAAAATAAGCTAAAATAATATTTACCTTGACTTCTGTTTCTATTCATGAAGGAGTTACATCTGTAAGTCTTGTCTTCCAGCTTTCATTGCTAGAAAACTGGACTAAATACATAGAAAGGCTATGATCTTCAAGAGAAGAGAAACAAATGAGATCAATCCAACACTGGAATTTCTGACTGGAGGCAATTTTTAGACCATGGTACATGGTACATGGAGGAACAGCCTAAACATAACTTCATGGTATTCAAATTTTGTAGTTGAGAAGATAAGATCTGAGTTTAGAGAGAACAAAGGAGCTAGAATTTGTGGGGCAGATTACCAGAGAGGAGGGAAATACACAAAGAGCTCTAGAAATCCGCATAGGGCCTCCCCAGAATATTTGTTTGAATAGCAATCTACACATACATAATGTGAAATTCCACATGACCAGGCAAAGAACAACTGTGAGAAAAGAATAATTAGAGTGAACTGTCAGTAGAATTCCCAGGGGTCTCACAGGTCTGGTAATCTTTTGATTTCCCATCAGCCAGAATAGGGAACCCCCATTAAATACAGAGGGTATTCAGTAGAGAGCACAGAGGGACCAAGCCTTAGGAACAGGGATAAATTAACACTAAAGACTACTTCAGACTCACCCTAAAAAATGTTTAATGCAAGCCTCAAAGGAATCAGTATCACTCACAGGTAACTTAACTGCCTGCCAGGAACAATTCTACATCTAAATCAATGCACCTAAATGTAACACTAAATAAAATAAAATTTATAATATCTGGCAACCAATAAAAAATTACTGGACATGAGAAAAAATAGTAAAATGTGACTCAGATCAGGAGAAAATTCAGTCAATAGAAACAGACCTGGAAATGACAGATAATGAAGTTAACAGAAAAAGTTGAAAACACTATTGCACAGTGTGAATGACGAAGAAGACGGGTGATTTCTGCATTTCCAACTGAGGTACCAGGTTCATCTCACTGGGGCTTGCCAGACAAATGGGTGCAGCCCACAGAGCAGGGTGGGGCATCACCTCACCTGGGAAGCACAAGAGGTCAGGGAATTACCTTTCCTAGTAAAGGGAAGCCCTGACAGAGGGCACTTGGAAAATTGGGGCACTCCCACCCCAATACTGCACTTTTCCAATGGTCTTAGCAAACAGCACACCAGGAGATTATATCCCACACCTGGTTCAGAGGGCCCCATGGCCATGGAGCCTCACTAATTGCTAGCACAGCAGTCTGACATAGAACTGCAAGGTGGCAGCGAGGCTGGTGGAGGGGCATCTGCCATTGCTGAGGCTTGAGTAGGTAAAGCAGCCAGGGAAGCTCGAACTGGGTGGAGCCCACCACAGCTCAAGGAGGCCCGCCTGCCTCTGTAGACTCCACCTCTAGGGGCAGGGCATAGCCGAACAAAAGGCAGCAGAAACTTCTGCAGACTTAAATGTCCCTGTCTGGCGGCTTTGAAGAGAATAGTGGTTCTTCCAGCACAGAGTTTGGGATCTGAGAACAGACAGACTGCCTCCTCAAGCAGGTTCCTGACCCCTGAGTAGCCTAAATAGGAGACACCTCCCAGTAGGGGCCTACTAACACCTCATAAGGCTGGTTGCCCCTCTGAGACGAAGCTTCCAGAGGAAGGATTAGGCAGCAACATTTGCTGTTCTGCAGCCTCCGCAGGTGATACCCAGGCAAACAGGGTCTGGAGTGGACTTCCAGCAAACTCCAACAGACCTGCAGCTGAAGGTCCTGACTGTTAGAAGGAAAAGTAACAAACAGAAAGGACATCCACACAAAAACCCCATCTGTACGTCACCATCATCAAAGACCAAAGGTAGATAAAACCACAAAGATGTGGAGAAACCAGAGCAGAAAAGCTGAAAATTCTAAAAATCAAAAGCCTCTTCTCCTCCAAAGGAACGCAGCTCCTCGCCAGCAATGGAACAAAGCTGGACAGAGAATGACTTTGATGAGTCGAGAGAAGAAGGCTTCAGAAGACTGGTAATAACAAACTTCTCCGAGCTAAAGGAGGATGTACGAACCCATCGCAAGAAGCTAAAAACCTTGAAAACAGAGTAAACAAATGGCAAACTAGAAAAAACAGTGTAGAGAAGTCCTTAAATGACCTGATGGAGCTGAAAACCATGGCACGAGAACTACGTGATGAATGCACAAGCTTCAATAGCAGATTTAATCAAATGGAAGAAAGGGTATCAGTGATTGAAGATCAAATGAATGAAATGTAGCGACAAGAGAAGTTTAGAGAAAAAGTAAAAAGAAATGAACAAACCCTCCAAGAAATATGGGACTATGTGAAAAGACCAAATCTACATCTGATTGATGTACCTGAAAGTGATGGGGAGAATGGAACCAAGTTGGAAAACACTCTTCAGGATATCATCCAGGAGAACTTCCCCAACATAGCGAGGCAGGCCAACATTCAAATTCAGGAAATACAGAGAACGCCACAAAGATACTCCTCGAGAAGAGCAAATCCAAGACACATAATTTTCAGATTCACCAAAGTTGAAACAAAGGAAAAAAGGTTAAGGGCAGCCAGACAGGTCAGGTTACCCACAAAGGGAAGCCCATCAGACTAACAGCAGATCTCTCAGCAGAAACTCTACACACCAGAAGAGAGTGGGGGTCAATATTCAACATTCTTAAAGAAAAGAATTTTCAACCAAGAATTTCATATTCAGCCAAACTAAGCTTCATAAGGGAAGGAGAAATAAAATCTTTTACAGACAAGCAAATGCTGAGAGATTTTGTCACCATCAGGCCTGCCTTACAAGAGCTCTGGAAGGAAGTACTAAACATAGAAAGGAACATCTGGTACCAGCCACTGCAAAAACATGCCAAATAAGGCCATCAATACTAGGAAGAAGTTGCATCAACTAATGAGCAAAATAACCAGCTAACATCATAATGACAGGATCAAATTCACACATAACAATATGAATCTTAAATGTAAATGGGCTAAATGCTCCAAATAAAAGACACAGACTGGCAAATTGGATACAGTCAGGACCCATCAGTGTGCTGAATTCAGGAGACCCATCTCACATGCAGAGACAAATATAGGCTCAAAATAAAGGGATGCAGGAAGATCAACCAAGCAAATGGAGAACAAAACAAAGCAGGGGTTGCCGTCCTAGTCTCTGATAAAACAGACTTTAAACCAACAAAGATCAAAAGAGACAAAGAAGACCTATGTAATGGTAAAGGGATCAATTCAACAAAAAGAGCTAACTATTCTAAATTTATAGGCACCCAATACAGGAGCACCCAGATTCATGAAGCAAGCCTTGAGAGACCTAAAAAGGGACTTAGACTCCCACACAATAATAATGGCAGACTTTAACAACCCCCTGTCAACATTAGACAGATCAACAAGACAGAAAGTTAATAAGGATATCCAGGAATTGAACTCAGCTCTGCACCAAGCAGACCTCATAGACATCTACAGAACTCTCCACCCCAAAACAACAGAACATACATTCTTCTAAGCACCACATCACACTTACTCCAATATTGACCACATAGTCAGAAATAAAGCATTCCTCAGCAAATGTAGAAGAACAGAAATTGTAACAAACTGTCTCTCAGACAACAGGGCAATCAAACTAGAACTCAGGATTAAGAAACTCACTCAAAACCACTCAACTACATGGAAACTGAACAACCTGCTCCTGAATGACTACTGGGTACATAAAGAAATGAAGGTAGAAATGAACATGCTCTTTGAAACCAATGAGAACAAAGACACAACACACCAGAATCTCTGGGACACATTCAAAGCAGTGTGTAGAGGTAAATTAATAGCACTAAATGCCCATAAGAGAAAGCAGGAGAGATTTAAAATTGACACCCTAACATCACAATTAAAAGAACTAGAAAGCAAGAGCAAACACATTCAAAAGCTAGCAGAAGGCAAGAAATAACTAAGATCAGAGCAGAACTGAAGGAGATAGAGGCACAAAAAACCCTTCAAAAAATCAATGAATCCTGGAGCTGGTTTTCTGAAAAGATCAACAAAATTGATAGACCACTAGCAAGACTAATATGGAAGAAAAAAGAGAAGAATCAAATAGATACAATAAAAAATGATAAAGGGGATATCACCACCGATCCCACAGAAATACAAACTACCATCAGAGAATACTATAAACACCTCTATGCAAATAAACCAGAAAATCTAGAAGAAATGGATAAATTCCTGGACACATACACCCTCCCAAGACTAAAGCAGGAAGAAGTTGAATCCCAATAACAGGTTCTGAAATTGAGGTAATAATTAATAGCCTACCAACCAAAAAAAGTCCAGGACCAGACGGATTCACAGCCAAATTCTACCCAGAGGTACAAAGAGGAGCTGGTTCCATGCCTTCTGAAATTATTCCAATCAATAGAAAAAGAGGGAATCCTCCCTAACTCATTTTATGAGGCCAACATCATCCTGATACCAAAGCCTGGCAGAGACACAACAAAAAAAGGGAGTTTTAGACCAATATCCCTCATGAACATCGATGCAAAAATCCTCAATAACATACTGGAAAACCGAATTAGGCAGCAAATCAAAAAGCTTATCCACCACGATCAAGTTGGCTTCATCCCTGGGATGCAAGGCTGGTTCAACATATGCAAATCGATAAACGTAATCCATCATGTAAACAGAACCAAAGACAAAAACCACATGATTATCTCAATAGATGCAGAAAAGGCCTTCGATGAATAAAATTCAACAGCCCTTCATGCAAAAAACTCTCAATAAATTAGGTATTCATGGGACATATCTCAAAATAATAAGAGCTATTTATGACAAACCCACAGCCAATATCATACTGAATGGGCAAAAACTGGAAGCATTCCCTTTGAAAATTGGCACAAAACAGGGATGCCCTCTCTCACCACTCCTATTCAACATAGTGTTGGAAGTTCTGGCCAGGGCAATCAGGCAAGAGAAAGAAATAAAGGGTATTCAATTAGGAAAAGAGGAAGTCAAATTGTCCCTGTTTGCAGATGACATGATTGTATATTTAGAAAACCCCATCATCTGAGCCCAAAATCTCCTTAAGCTGATAAGCAACTTCAGCAAAGTCTCAGGATACAAAATCAATGTGCAAAAATCACAAGCATTCTTATACACCAATAACAGACAAACAGAGTGCCAAATTATGAGTGAACTCCCATTCACAATTGCTTCCAAGAGAATAAAATACCTAGGAATCCAACTTACAAGGGACGTGAAGAACCTCTTCAAGGAGAACTACAAACCACTGCTCAATGAAACAAAAGAGAATACAAACAAATGGAAGAACATTCCATGCTCATGGGTAGGAAGAATCAATATCGTGAAAATGGCCATACTGCCCAAGGTAATTTATAGATTCAATGCCATCCCCATCAAGCTACCAATGACTTTCTTCACAGAAGTGGAAAAAAACTACTTTAAATTTCATACGGAACCACAAAAGAGCCTTCATTGCCAAGACAATCCTAAGCCAAAAGAACAAAGTTGGAGGCATCATGCTACCTGACTTCAAAGTATACTACAAGGCTACAGTAACCAAAACGGCATGGTACTGGTACCAAAACAGAGATATAGACCAATGGAACAGAAAAGAGCCCTCGGAAATAATACCACACATCTACAACCATCTTTGACAAACCTGACAAAAACAAGAAATGGGGAAAGGATTCCCTATTTAATAAATGCTTCTGGGAAAACTGGCTAACCATATGTAGAAAGCTGAAACTGGATCCCTTCCTTACACCTTATACAAAAATTAATTCAAGATGGATTAAAGACTTAAATGTCAGACCTAAAACCATTAAAACCCTAGAAGAAAACCTAGGCAATACCATTCAGGCCATAGGCATGAGCAAGGACTTTGTGACTAAAACACCAAAAGCAATGGCAACAGAAGCCAAAATTGACAAATGGGATCTAATTAAACTAAAGAGCTTCTGCACAGCAAAAGAAACTACCATCAGAGTGAATAGGCAACCTACAGAATGGGAGAAAATTTTTACAATCTACCCATCTGACAAAGGGCTAATATCCAGAATCTACAAAGAACTTAAACAGATTTACAAGAAAAAATCAAACAACCCCATCAAAAAGTGGGCGAAGGATATGAACAGACACTTCTCAAAAGAAGACATTTATGCAGCCAAAAGACACATGAAAAAATGCTCATCATCACTGGTCATCAGAGAAATGCAAATCAAAACCACAATGAGATACCATCTCACACCAGTTAGAATGACGATCATTAAAAAGTCAGGAAACTACAGATGCTGGAGAGGATGTGGAGAAATAGGGACACTTCTACACTATTAGTGGGACTGTAAACTAGTTCAACCATTGTGGAAGACAGTGTGGCGATTCCTCAAGGATCTAGAACTAGGAATAGCATTTGACCCAGCCATCCCATTACTGGGCATATACTCAAAATATTATAAATCATGCTGCTATAAAGACACATGAACACGTATGTTTATTGTGGCACTATTCACAATAGCAAAGACTTGGAACCAACCCAAATGTCCATCAATGATAGACTGGATTAAGAAAATGTGGCACATATATACCATGGAATACTATGCAGCCATAAAAAATGATGAGTTCATGTCCTTTATAGGGACATGGATGAAGCTGGAAACCATCCTTCTGAGCAAACTATGGCAAGGACAGAAAACCAAACACCTCATGTTCTCACTCATAGGTGGGAATTGAACAATAAGAACACACAGACACAAGGTGGGGAACATCACACACAGGAGCCTGCCGGGGGGTTGGCGGGGGGAAGGATAGCATTAGGAGATATACCTAATGTAAATGATGAGTTAATGGGTGCAGCACACCAACATGGCACATGTATACCTATGTAACAAATCTGCATGTTGTGCATATGTACCCTAGAACTTAACGTAAAATAAAGTAAAATGAAATAAAATAAAAACAAAAAAACTATTACAAATAAAAATGTCAAGGATTTAATGAGAAGTATAAAGAGAAGTATAATATGAGAGAAATAGATAGTAAAATAATATCAAAATTAAACTTCTAGAAATGAAAACTAAGATAGCTGAAATAAAAATTTCACTGAATGGGATTAAAAGCAGATAAGACACTGCAGAAGAAAAGATCAATGAACTTGAAGGTGTAACAGTAGAAAACATACAAAATACCAAGAGAAAAGGAGGTTTTACAAAAGTAAACAGTGTCAGTGATTTTGGTGACATTAACAAGTCATTTAATATATAATTTGAGTTCCAGAATTAGATGGTAGGAAAATTGAGGGTCAGAAAAACTGTTTAAAGATGTAAGGCCAATGTTTTCCCCACAAGCTTTATGAAAACAATACTCCCATGATCTCGACTCACTGTAACCTCTGCTTTCTGGGTTCAAGCTATTCTCCTGCCTCAGCCTCCCGAGTAGCTGGGATTATGGGCACCCACCACCACACCCAGCTAATTTTTTTGTATTTTTAGTGGAGACAGGGTTTCCCTATTTGGCCAGGCTGGTCTTGAGCTCCTGACCTCAAGTGATCCACCTGCCTGTGCCTCCCAAAGTGTAGAGATTACAGGCATGAGCCACCATACCCAGCCTCAAATTGATCTTATATTTAGCTAATTATACATGTGTAATAATGATAAAAATGAGAGGAGGCAGAAGAGAAGACAGTAATTACTATTTTGGGATATGCTGTGCCTGGCCCTTTGCTAAATGCTGTTACATATAATATCTCATTTAATCTTCCTAGCAAATACATTTGGTAGCTACTATATTTATTATCATTTTTCAGTCACAAAAGATGAAATTGAGAGATATTATGTAATTTGTTAAAGGGCATAGAGAAGAAAGTGACAAACCAGAGATTTAAAATTATGTCAGTCTGAATTCAAAGCATCCCATTATACTATCTCCCAGATGCAAAAATCTATAAGCATGAATACTACTTCAGAATTTACTTTTAGCATAAGCTTTACATTTAAGAAATGTTCTAATTTTTTGTTTTATATTCTTTGTCACATATAATTTAGCCTCTTTAAACTGTTCTATAAATTTAGATAATTTTCTATAATCAGAAAACAGGCTACCACCTATATACAAAAATAAATGGTATGCCATGTTGATCCTAGAACATTTTCTAGGGTCAAGAGAGTAGTAAAGCTACTGTTTAAAATAAAATGGTTTAGTTAATATGTATGTTCATGTGTTTTTATCTAAACAATCAAGAAATGATGATGAAGAGATAACATGTTTGAAAAAACCCTGAAAATTTTTTAAACATAAATGCTGTAGCCAAATGAAAAAAAAGTTATCATGTAACTATGAAATACTTAACTACAATATTGCACTCCCAGCATTATTATTGTTGCTACTTAATGGAATAACAACAGTAATAGTATCTTCTTAAATTCAAATTCCTAAATATAAAGCTAGAAACATAATAGGTCTAGTGCATCTTTACTACAGGACACTTTTTTTTTTTTACCTTATACATTGATAGTGCAATGTATGTGATAAATGCATTGGTAATGCAAATATATAATTATTATTATGTGCTATTCAAATTTTCATCAAAAATAGATAAATACTTTGACTTTAATCAAAATTCTTAATGATAGTGTGAACATTTTTAAATTTGTGTTCTCCAAAGCTTTGTTAAATAATTTATCAGATTAGAGCAAAAGTAATTGTAGTTTTTGCCATTACTTTTAATGACAAAATTGACTTGCTAAGAAAAAGAATAACTCTTTCTTCTTTTAATTAAGTATAGTGCTTATTAGGAACTTAAAGTGGATCCTTCTTTTATATTGTGGAGATCAGGTATGCTAATAGAAGACAGAGAAAGCCCTTTGACAGGAAATAAAATCCTGAATATTTTATAGATAATCAGCAGTACTGCAAGGGCTTCTGCTGTCTTTTATCAATCTGACTTTGTTTGGGCGCTGAGATCTGCTGGTAGGTGAACTAGAGTAGGAGGTTACCATCATAGAATATACTGTACATACTAGTTCAAGTTTAAACATCTTTGGTTTCAACAAAGGGTAGGCAATCATTGCTTAAAATAGATGTATTAACATTTTATTTTTACTTATGATGTAGGGGTCGGCAGGAAATGCATTGGGACTACATTTGAAGACTTACTTAGCTACACACACATAGACACATACACACCCATGAGATAGTCATCTATATTCAGATCTTCTTTGTTACGAATAAGTGAATTATTTCCTTTATTTCAAAATTATTGCACTAATATGAATTATTATTTAATTCTTCGTTGCCAATAATAATATACTTTGCTTTTCTTTTTCAGGGTTTAAACTTGAAAAGACTAGAGACAGTACAAGGAGGGAGAGAGGTAAGAATGTTTAAAGAAGAGGGGTGGGAAAAAGAGGAAACATGGCTATGGTGTTGCAGTGATGTGGTGATGGTGATTGACGATAATTACGTTGATAATGGAAATGGAGATGCATTGAAGAGAATGTTGTCTGCATATGGCTCTGTTCATTCTGCCAAAGCATATTTTACATGTTTATGTAAATGTGTTATTTGTGCTTGTTCCTCTGAAGCTAAAGAAAATGTTGTTTCTCTGATTAGGCAAGCATTGTTTCTGTTATAATGGATTTCTGTAGCAGCAGGTCCTTTCACAGGGGGCAGAAACATTACAATGCAATTTTTAAAACTGACTTACTGAGAAGTTAACAAAATTCTAACAATGCAAATATTTTATGACATTTGGGATTCCTCATTTTCCTGTCAAAGGCTTTTGGCATATGCTACTAGGTTGGTATGCATTATTAGAGAGTATGAAGTTGCTCTGGTAAAGCTAGTAATTTTAAAACTAACTGAATGTGAAGACTTAACATCACTTAATTTTTTTTCCCTGCTAAATGTATAAATGCTGTACTTAACTCTGTGATTCAGGTTGCTGGGAGTTGTGGGAAGGGTGGAATATTTAATTCAGTAAATCAAAACATTCTAACTGCACAAAAAAAATCATTTTTGATGATACTTATATTGCAATTTTTGTACAAAAGTGAAGGTATTTTGTTCTATACAAATGAGGAAAAAAATCTTACTGTCCTCTCCATTTGTAGCTTCCTTTCTGTATAAACAGATTTCTTCCCTATAGTGGTGCTTGCCAGCTTTCCTTTATGTTTTAATTCCAGTTGCATGATTTTAGTATTTGACATTTTAGTTCCTAGTGAATTTGTCATTTAAGGTCTCTTTCCATTTTCTCAGATATTTTCCATCCAGAAAAATCTATTTTTATTTAGGAACACATAAAGTTGGTTCACATTGATGGAAGAGCTAGATGAAGTGAAACATAGATAAATCTTTAGATATTTTTCATGTTGTAGGAGAGCAAGATGATAAGAATATGGTCATCAGTATGACTGGGGAAAAAAGGCACTTCATAAGGAAGATCTCAGAACCTTTTACAGCTTTGTGAGAATGACTGCTTTCATTCAGATGTAACCAAAATGGATCTACTTATAGAAAGAACTAAACTGATCACCTCCTAAAGTGAAAGTTTTCATCCGAGCAGTACTGCTACAATTTATTTCTGCTGATTTAGTGCCTTTAGGGACATACTAAGTGGAGTTACTCGGCTTCTCCTTGCTGCTTCCTGGTCTAATAGCAACTTTGTGTCAAAAGAAGGAAAACTGAAATCTATATATCCGTACGATGGCATTGCTAAATGGTGCCAAATTCTGCATTTGTTTTACTAAGATTTTTATAGTTTTTAATGTTATTTTTAAATGCATAATGATTGGGTTTTATTGAAAGAGTGGCTCTTAAATCATATTGCTTATTTTTCTAACGTCCTTTGATTTTATTTTTATTATAAGTGTACTTATAAGTAAGGAACATGGTAAAATGTGTTTAAATTAATTTTAGAAGTATATTGTTCTCAAAACTATTTTGTGATTTCTCTGAAGGTCAAAATTGTAATAATTTACAATTTAATGTATACATCTCCATAGAAGGGACAACACTGATTTTGGCCTTCTCCCTCAGGGTAGTGGAATAATTGTAAAAAGCTAAGATCATCAAATTAACCATAATCCAGTAATGTCTTCTGCACTTGACATCTCTAATTCATGACCAGAAAGTAAATGTCAACTATTAAAATTCAAAACAACTACTTAACTTCCACTTAGGGCAGCACTGGGTTACTTAAGCATATTTCTATTCAATGTAACTACTTACCTTAACTTTCCCTGTGACTAAGAGGCCTAGTATGTTCTAAGATAAGAAACTTCAGGGAGGTATAAGACAATTAGGTGAAGTATGTTGTAAAAACTGTTCTTTTCAAGTCTCAATGGTAGATGACCTGTAAACAAAGAGTACAATTACTATGTTAAGGACCTTGTGATCTCACTTGCTTAAGAAATGGGACGTGTATGTATCTAATTTCCATTTGTTATGTTCTAGGATGTGTGTGCATAACAAGATGTACAATGTAATTCTGATTATGTTAAATTGAAATGTGAGGGTTTAGAAAACTCTTACTCCAAATGATTTCTTAGAATTTCTCATTGTAATGCTATTATGATTGATAAATGACAATAATTGTTTATTATGATGAATTAATTTCTTAGTTCAAATGACAGCTATTCCCCATAGGTGTTGATGGATGCAATATCAAGGGCTTATTACCAAATATTTATAAGAAGATTTAAGAAGTGTCATTTAAAATATTCTATTTACTTATTGAAGTAATGAAAACAGAGTATTCATAGAAAATGAAGTAGACAGTAATATGCTATTTAGCTAAGTGGTAAATACCATTAAAAAACGAATTGCCAGACAGGAAGGCTAGATTTGAAACTATATGCTGTATAAAAATATAAGTTAAGGAGAAGTGATTAAAATGTAAATTACTTTTCTGAAGGAAATAGAGATAGGTAACACCTAAATTGCTAAATTGTGAAATATACAAAAATAGTTATTAGCTGTATGAAATAACCCCATTTATATTGGTATTTTTACATTTTTATACGTGCATATTGTGTATACAATTTGAGGGGGCTGATTATAATAGATAATAAAAAGCTTGTTTAAAAAGGGAGATTAGTAGAATGCTATACAAAATGTGATTGTTTAACAGATATTTCTAACTGATTATAAACAATTTTCTTGCATCCAGTGGGATTTTGCAACTCATAGAAAAACCTCAGTGAAATTCACTGGGTAAGACACATAGATAAGTCATTTTTTTTTTCATTAAGTGTGGATAATACTAAGTTACTGTAATTTTTCTTAAAAGACTTTAAAATACCTTTGTTATTTTAGGTAGTTTTTTTGTTTTCCAAAGGCCAGTTTTTGTTTAAGTATTAAAGCTTCTGTGTGTGCCTGTAGCAGGACGAGCCATGGACAAAACCCCACAGACACCGAGGTAGTGAAGGAAGTAGCTTTTAATCAGCTGAAAGCATCAGCAGACTAGCATCCTAAAATCCGAGCTTGTTGAGTGCACAATTTCTGTCCCTTTTGAGGGCTCATAACACTAAAGATTTTACATGAAAGGGCCGTGATTGATTGAACAATCTAGGCGGTATGTGACAGGGGCTGCAAGCACCAGCAATCAGAGTGAAACAGAACAGAATGAGAAGCTTCAGAGTGTCCTTCCATACAATGTCTGGAATCTGTGGATAATATCGGTTGCTAGGTCATGGGTTGAATTTTAACTATCAGGCTAAGGTCAGGCAGGCCCAGGCCTGGTTTTGGGTCTGGTGCCTGGCTCTGGGCTGCCTGCCTTTGGTTTCACTTCCTTGTTTCTTCTTAAAGCAGGTACTGAATATAAAACAATATAAAACAATATGGGGGGATCTCTTTCTCTCTTCTTTCATTTCCCACCTTTGAGACTCTCACTCATTTTATTAGTGGGAATTCTCACTTTCATTTTCACTACTTATGTCTTCCCGTGCAATAGATTGATAGTGATTCATATAATATACTTGTGCTGAAGCATTCTGGTGAACTAAGGTAATGATGAAGCTTTTTATCATTTGAAGAAGTACAGGTAGCAAACAAGGGAGTAGTAAGCAGGTTCCTATTACTATTATAACTCCTATGATAAGAGTTTTAAATCCTCCTATTGCTGGGAACCAATTTCCAAACATGGCCCCAGGATCAAATCCGTGCCACACTTGCATGGGTACATGTGCCAGTTTTGTTATATCTTTAAATATGTCTTCAACTACTTGCCCTTGATCATCTATGTGGAAACAGAAATTAGTAAGGTTAAATTTTCCACAAACTCCTCCTTCAGCTGCTAGCAAGTAGTTCAGAACTAGTCTATTTTGGTAGATAGTATTCCTTATCTGAGTCTCTTGCTGGGCAAGAACAGTCAAGACTTGACAGGTTTTATTAGTAATAATTTCTAAAACAGCTTGCAACCGTATGATTCAGTTGAGCATGAAGATGGGGGTCCGATATCCCCATGAGCCATCTTGTGCCCAAGTGGTGGGTCCACAGTATTGTATAATTCTTTCAGGGGGCCATTCATCATCTTTCCAGTTACCTATGGCTATGCTTCATTTTTCGCGGGAAGCATAGACAGGGAATCCTAGGAGTTTGTCTGTTTTTATGGGCAGTAGGAAGAAAGGTGGTGTAATAGTGCCAATTACACAGCTACCTGTCCACTGATCAGGTGGCTTAGCATAGGCTCTATGTCCACATATCCAGTATAACCTGCTGGGGGCAATCCAGTCCTGGCGGAATTCTGGGTGGGCTCAAACAGTCTGCAATTTTGGAAATTTACTGAATGGATTTCTTTCTGTGTAATTGGAACTCCACCATGTAACTGTTTTTGTGGTACCATTATACAGTTTTTGTCCAAGACACCTAAGCCTTACTACAGGATGAGTGAATTCTTTTCCTTCTCTAGCTATGCAATATTGTCCAATAATTGAGGCTTTTAGAACCCAGAAATTGTCAGGGTGGTTCTTTTGGGCTGGGAATTCATCAGGAACTGGGTCTGCAGGAACTAATTCTTGGGCTTCCCATGGCCACTGATCTCCTGTTACAGTTCCTCCACAAACATACCATTAAGTGACTTAGACACTGAGCTACATGCTCGGCTAATTGCAAAAACAAATTTCTAGTTTTTCCTGGAATTTCAGGTACTGGCACATTTAGTTCATCATAGAAAGTCTGAAATACTGGCTCTGGAGAGCATTTTCGAATCTCTCCTTTTATTAAAATATTTACCTCAGGGTCTAGTCCTTTTCCATCAATGCCTGGAGATACGTACTCTCCTTTTCTCCATTTTGGGTCCAAGGGGTTTGTGATTACTAATTCTTAAAGGTTGCAGCTTCCACTCATGCAGGAGGGGCTTCCTTTCCCTTTTTGGAGCCAAACAGGATCTTCTTCATCCTTTTCCCAAGTAGCCCAAATGACACATGACCAGTACCCACATTTTTTTCCACACAATCCTACAGATGTACTTATTTTCGGTCATGTATCTTTTTTCCCAATTAAAAGAGCCACATCCTGCTCCTAGCTTATTTCTATTAATGACAGCACAAGCGTCAAATTATAAGATTATGCGTTTGGGCACCCCTTTTTCTTCTGTTCTGGCTAATACTTTACTTGTATCATTTATGAGTCCTCACTAGTCTTCAGTCCTTAATCTGATTTCAAAAACTATGGAAATGGGAGGTTCAGAGGGGTCATAGCACACGTCGGGCTGGTCACTTCCTGGATTACAGACTTTGTACTGAGTGTTATTATACAAACATGTTCCTTTTGGAATTACTAGGCATTCATAATAACTATAGAACAAAAAAAATTGTCTTAACGTGTTGTCCTACCTCAGTGACCTGATATATGCACTGAAAGCAGTCCTCTGTGTGGGAAGAAGCAGTGGAAGCTTTTACCACACCAGTCCATGTTATAAGGAAAATAAGTCCCACGACTATTTTCCTCATGCTTCAGCCATGCGTAGACCAGTCAGCTTCCGGGTGTGACTGGAGCAGGGCTTGTCGTCCTCCTCAGGGTTACTTTGCAGGGATTGTCTAGGCTTGGTTTGGCCTCCCAGGTTCCAGTGGCTGCGGGCTTTATGTGGCTGTGGTGAATCCAGGCTGGAATTCCTTCTACCTTCACAGCTGTGGGAGTGGTCAGGATAACGGTCTTGGGTCCCTTCCACTGTGGCCGTAAGGGAGCTACATTTCAGTCCTTGATCCACACACGGTCACCTGGAGAAAAAGGGTGAACTGGGGAGAATAAGCTGACTGAGCACCTCTCATTTACCCAAGTTGAGATTGTCTGGGTAATTTTCCCCAAGGCCTGTAACTGTCTCTGCAATTCAATTTCATCCAACTCTTGGGGAGTACCTGGAAGTCCTCGCGGTATAGGAGGAGGCCTATGATATAATGTTTCATAAGGGGAGTATCCTGTTTTCTTAGAGGGGGTGCACCTAATTTTAAATAATACCATAGGAAGGGCCTGTATCCATTTTAATCCTGTCTCTTGATATACTTTCCCTAAACTATTTTTGATAGTCTGATTCATTTGCTCCACCTTTCCGGAACTGTGAGGTTGGTAGGCGGCATGTAGCTTCCAAGTGAGTCCCAATACCTTTGCTGTCCTCTGTACTAAGTCAGCCACAAATGCTGGCCCATTTTCTGAGCCAATCCGTAGAGGCAGTCCAAACCTAGGGATGAGATCTCAAAGAAGCACATGGGTTACTTCATGAGCTTTTTCAGTTCATGTTGGATAAGCCTCTACCCACCCAGAGTAAGTACACACTAGAACCAGTAAATACTTGTTACCTCTGCATTTGGGCATCTCTGTGAAGTCCATTTGAAGATCTTCAAAGGGAGCTGCTCCATAGGCTTGTATGCCAGGAGGAACAGAGGGGCCTTGCTTTGCATTGTGCTGTCGACAGGTAACACATTGCTGTGCTGCTGTTTTAGCAAGAGCTGGCAAGTGTGAGATGTAGAAATACTGGCTGAACAGCTTTTCAAGTGACTCCTGGCCTAAATGGGTAGTTTCATGTACAGCCAGCATGACTGCAGCTCCTAGCAGCTGTGGCACAGCTATTCTTCCATCTGGTAACTGTATCCACCCTTCTTTTATTGTTTGTCCTCCCTCTGCCTGAAGAAAGTCTTTTTCCTCTTTAGAAGAAGTAGGCACCAGATCAGGTGTTTGAGGGAGTAGGGGGGCTGTGACTGATGCCCGGTAAGGAGTAGATGCTGCTTTTCCTGCCTCTGTGTCTGCTCAGGGGTTTCCTTGGCTCACTGAGGTGGAAGCTCACTGGTGTCCCTTGCAATGCATGACTGCCACCTTTTGGGGTTTCCATACTGCCTCTAATAATTGTAGAATTTCTTGTTGATATTTTATGTCCTTTCCCCCGAATTTAATAGGCCTTTTTCTTTATATAATGCTCCATATACTTGAATGGTTAGAAAGGCATATCAAGAGTCAGTATAAATGTTTACAGTCTTACCTTCACTAAGTTCTAGAGCCCGAGTTAAAGCAATGAGTTCTTCCTTCTGGGCTGAAGTGCCCTGAGGCAATGGTTTGGCTTCAATAACATCATCCAAAGTTACCACCGCATATCCTGCGCATCTTTCTCCTCGTGGACTGATGAAGCTGCTCCCATCCACGTATAACTCCCAGTCCACTGATGCCCATGACTGGTCTCGAAGATCGAGTCTGCTAGAATACACTGAGTCCAACACTTCCACACAGTTATGTTCAACAGGGCTGTCTGATACTGGGAGTAAGGTTGCAGGATTCAGAGCGTTACAGACCTCAATGGTTATGCGGGGGTTTTCACATAGCAAGCTTTGGTACTTGGTTAATCTAGCATTTGTTAGCCCATGGTGTCCTTTGGTATTTGTTAAAGTCACCACCACATGGGGGACCTTTATACTTAAGTTTTGCCCAAGGGTTAGCTTGTCTGCTTCTTATGCTAACAGGACTGTAGCTGCCAGGGCTCTCAGACGTGGAGGCCAGCCTTTTGAAGCTCCGTCTAGCTGTTTTGAGAGGTAGGCCACTGGTCTTGGCCAGGGCCCCACAGTTTGGGTTAAAACTCCAACTGCCATTTTTTCTCTTTCTGACACATAGAGTGTAAAGGGCTTTGTCAAATCTGGTAGTCCTAAGGCTGGGGCTGACATAAGTTTTTCCTTTAACTTGCAAAAGTCTTGCTGTTGCAGAGGTCCCCATTCAAAAGGCTCCCAGTTGCCCCCCTTTGTAACCCCATACAACGGTTTGGCTAGCACTGCAAAGTTTGGAATCCATAATCTGCAAAACCCCACAGATCCTAGAAATTCCCTTACTTGCCTTCTGGTTTTAGGTTTCGGTAAGCTGCAGATGACTTGCTTTCTTTCTGACCCCAGGCTGTGCTTCTCTTTCCGAATAGTGAATCCCAGGTAGCGTACCTGCTGTCTGCAGATCTGAGCTTTCTTCTTGGACATCTTATACTCACAGTCCTCCAGGTGTCGAAGCAGGGCATCCGTCCCTTTGGCATACCCATCTGCCGTGGAGTGTCCTAGCAGAAGATTGTCCACGTACTGGAGCAAGACACAGCCTAGGTCTTTAGCAGGAAACTTCTGGAGGTCTCGAGCCAACACCTCCCCGAAGATGGTGGGGTAATTTTTAAACCCCTGGGGAAGCCGAGTCCAAGTGTACTGAGTAGTAACACCTGACCCCGGATCTTCCCACTGAAAGGCAAACAGCTTTTGGCTCTCAGGAGCTAGTCTGATGCTAAAGAAGGCATCCTTCAAGTCCAGACAAGTGAACCAGCTGTCCTCAGCTGGCAGCAATCCTAACAGTGTGTAAGGGTTAGGAACTGTTGGGTGTAGAGTCACTGTAGTTTGGTTAACCAAGCGTAAGTCCTGTACAGTTCGATAGTCCTTGGTCCCTGGCTTGGGGACAGGTAGGAGGGGGGTGTTCCATGGAGATTGTCAAGGAACTATAATCCCAAAAGCTTTCAAGCATGTAAGATGAACCTGTATTCCTTCAAGATCTTCTCTGGGAACCGGATACTGCTTTTGTCTAATTGGCTGAGCCCCAGGCTTAACTTGTATGAGTACTGGGGCTTGATTGATCGTCAGCCCTGGAGGATTGTCCTCCGCCCATACTCAGGGCCATCGCTTAGCTAGAGCCGGTTTTATCTCCTGACCTGGCTCGGTTAGAAAAAGTCTCCATTCTTCTTCTCAGGGGACTGTAAGGGCCATGATAACTCCTGTTCCTGGTAACTTCAGTTGTAAAGAGCCCTGTTTTGTAAAGGAAATGGTGTCTCTCAGCTTACTAAGCAAGTCTCTCCCTAAAAAGGCAAGGGGCAATCAGGTATATACAGAAATTGATGAGTCACTTTATGTCCTCCCACTGAGCAGGTCCAAGGTAGGCAGAAAACCTGCTTGGCGGAGACTCCCGTTGCTCCAATTATATCAATGGTTTTTTTGATAAGAGGGCCACTGGGGTGGTTACTACTGAGTGTCCGGCACCAGTATCAACCGAAAACTTAATGTCCTTGCCCCCTATTGTCATCCTGACCATGGGCTCCTTGGAGGCATTTGAGCCCGGTCCCCTTCAGTCTAGTAGCCCTTCGAACAGATTGAACAAAGTCCCTTCGTCTTTATCTGTGGTCTTTTGCTGTGCGTCACCTTGCTTCTCCTTTAGTTGGAGACACTTATCTTTCCAATGTCCTATTTCTTTACAGTAGGCACACTGGTTACACTGCACATGTGAGTGATTGGACTGGGCATTCCTCCTGGAACCCCCCTTTCCCTGCCCTTTGGGGGGGATCCCTCTAATTGCCACAGCCAGCAAATCAGTGTTCTGCCTGGCCTGGCCTTCACCCTCCTTATGGCTTTCTCAGCGGCTTGTTACATCTCTATTTACAAATACTTGATCAGCTATCTCCCGTAACTGCGAGGTATTCATCTCTGCAAAAACAGCCTGTTTTTGCGATTTCCTCCGGATATCTTCCATGCTTTGGCTAACTAAGGCCATGTTAATCATATGCTGATTTTCAGGACTATCCGGATCAAAAGGAGTGTACATACGATAGGCCTCACACTGTCTTTCATAGAATTGGTCTGGGCTTCCCTCCTTTCCTTGGATGACTTCAGAAACTTCATTTACATTGGTGGCCTTCTGAGCCCCTTTTTTCAGCCCTTCAATTAATGCCTCCCAGTATCGTTTTAACCTCTCCATATCTGGTCCTTCATTTGGATCCCATTGAGGGTCTGTTCCTGGCAGAACAATTCTTATGTATTCCTGAGGATTTTGGTAATCAGCTGGGACATGGTCCTCTAGCCATTTAGTTGCCACCTGGAGTATCCTTCACCTTTCATCTGTGTTAAAGATGTACATGAGTAGCTGGTGGTGATCAGCCCAAGTAGGATTATGAGTCTGTATAATAGTTTGGAGCAAGTCAATTAGAGCTTCAGGCTTTTCAGTGTAAGATGGAATATTATTTTTCCAGTTGAGGAGGTCAGCAGAGGTGAAAGGGTAATATAAAAAGCACACCTTTCCACTGTATGTCCATCCTCATCTATCCCAGCATATTGCTGCTTTCTCAGGGGCATTTGGATTCCAGTATTGGGCCGTAAATGGGCCGCCAAGGGAGGAGTTTCTCCTGCAGCTTCTCTTCCTTTCTTGTCTACTCTGTGTGGTCTAGGGGCTGTGGGCTCAGGAGTAGGGGGCCTTTCCACTTGGTAAAGGTGGGGCACTGTTGGTGCCATCTCCTGCCATGAGTCTTCAGGCTCTGAATCAGACAGAACTTTAGGGGCTGGCTTCCCTCGGCAGGTGGAGTGAGAACTTTCCTTAACTAACTGTCCCTTTGCTACTAGTACTGCTGCTGCCTGTCCCCTTAACCACTATGGGGGATCTAAAACTAGCTGTAACCAGGAATCTATATATGGGAACTGATCTGGGTGTCCTGGCTTGCCAGTTACTTTATGCCATACCTTTGAAACCAGAGACCTGTCCAGGCTTCCTTCTGATGGCTAACTTACCTCTAATTCGGGCCAATCTATTTCACACAAAGTTCTTAGTTTTCCTGGAGTCATAGTGACTCCATAGTCTCCTTTGAATCCTTTCTTGAAATTATTTAACATAGTTCCCAATGGAGTGGGCTTACATTTTGCCTGGCCCATGTTTTCTGAAGACAAAATATCATGCTCACACCACACACTCACCACAAAACAAAGAACAGGTAAAGAGGGCACACACACACCTTTATCGTTTATACCAAAACAAAATCAGAGTACCAAGAAATTCAAGCCAAGTCAAAACCAAAACCAAAGTATCAGGCAATTCAAGTCAAGTCAAAACCAGAACAGAAGTGCCGACACAGGCACACCGTGGGTGATCAGGCCACGCTTCCACTTAAATGGAGTGGGCAAGTTTCAAAGACATGTCTTACCAAGTTTCAGATGTCCGGACTCCAAGTGCCAGGTCCTTCCCAGTGTCCAGCCGGTGCCTGTGTGCACAGTTTTTTAATGGCGGATTGTCTTTATTTTTACCCTACCTCAAAAATGCCCAACCATCGGTATTCTGAATATTCTGTATCACAGGTCTAAAATCACATGATATGTGACTTTATATCATGATGAAGAGAACTAATAATTATGGTTGAATATCTAAATCAGGAATAAATATTTAGCTTCTGAAATTCTATTGAATGTGATAAGCTAATATGAAAGACACTGGCTATTGGAACTTTTGGATTAAGGCTGTTATTGGAAGTTACAGAAACTCAGGAACCATAGAGGCTATGCAAATGAAGTACAAATGTGTAGTGATCAAGGATCACTTTTATATAATTTGCATGACTCAGATCTCTTAAAGTGATGAACAGTCTTGGCAGGGATAATGTTGATCTTATTAATCTGAAATTCTGAAAAAAGGTTAATATTGGTACACTTGAATATTTTAGATAGTTTATACTCTTATAAAACTGATTATAAAAATGCTTCTTAAACATCAGAAAGAGAATTAACACTTTAGATAATTTCTAGAAGTATTTAGAAATATGATCAATAACTTTATAGACATACTCATTCCATTACTGCAAAAATCCCCGCTTGTGTTTTGGAAATTTTTCAGTTGATGATATTTGTGTGATCATGCCATTGATATTTAAAAATCCCACTTTTGTTTGTGGGATTGCAAGTACAGATAGATTCTTATAGACACTTAGGAAAAAAGTGTACATTTTAAATTATTAAAATAGATGATTTATGAATGTATCATTCTCAAGAAAATAATGAGCATATCTTATAACCTGTTATCTGTTTTAGAGTCCAGAATGCTTCACTAACTTTCTCTGCTGGATTACAGTGTGCTGATTCTCCATTTTCTTTGCTGAAAACCATAAATAGGAAATTACTGATGATACAAACCTCAGAGACTTAAAGAAACATAATTAGAGACAGTTGAAAAAGGCAGATTGAAAATCAATGTTTAGTTAAGTACTCTTTTCCCAGCCCTGTTTTATATTTACATTCATTAATCATTGAAAATAATACTTCAAGATTCTTTATTGATGTAAAGTATCATTTGAATATATAACATCCTAAAGAAAGGAATTATTTTATTCTGATAGTGGACTTTATGCCTTTGCTAATAGACTTGGATAGACTTTGCATTGTTTATCTTTTGAGGAATTAAATATTTCTACTTGAAATTGAAAATCATTTTAATTCTCTCCAAAAGAGAAAATTCTGAGAATCAGATAAATTATATTCTGAATTTCAAAGTAACTTGCCAACCTGCAACATTAGCACAAGAATGATTTCAACTGGAACAAAATAAAAATCACAAACAATTTCTCTTTCCATTTATAACTTAATTAGAATTATGAATCAGACTACTTTAGGACTAGGTTATTGCTTGAGTTAAGCAAAGTCACTCTTTTCTCTTGCCCAAAAGATCACTGGAGATAATTTTTTTTTTTTTTTGAGATGGAGTCTTGCTGTGTTGCCCAGGCTGGAGAGCAGTGGTGTGATCTCTGCTCACTGCAAGCTCCGCCTCCCGGGTTCATGCCATTCTCCTGCCTCAGCCTTCTGAGTAGCTGGGACTACAGGCATGTACCACCACGCCCAGCTAATTTTTTGTATTTTTAGTAGAGATGGGGTTTCACCATGTTAGCCAGGGTGGTCTGGATCTCCTGATGTCGTGATCTGCCCGCCTCGGCCTCCCAAAGTGCTGGGATTACAGGCGTGAGCCACCGCGCCCAGCTGAGAATTGTTTTTTTAAAGGGATAAAAGAAGAAAAATACACAACTTCCAAGACTAGAACTAAAATTGAAGAAAATGTACTATTCTTGGAAATAAGAGTTAGCAAAAATCATTAAGCACTATTGTTCCCTTAAGGTCTAGTATTTTGTATAATTTGGAAATTATAGGAGATAACTATACTTATTTTATAGCCTTGTGCATTGAATAAAAAGAATCTTCCATAAGAAATTGATCATGATTACAAGTTTTCTTTGATAATTTTTGTGCAAAACTTGCTTCTACTTGTATGTTTTCTTTATGGTCTAATATGCAGAATACACTATCTTGAATTTTTCTACTTCAGTTCAACTTTAGAGATCCCATTCTTAGTTTCTGTATAGTTTAGTAGAATAAGAAAATCTTGTATAATATCAGTGATGACAATTTTTTGGGAAATATATAGAATTTTTCAGTGGTTTGGTGCCTATAGCCCACCACTAAGATGTATCTGATGAACAGTGTGAATTTAAGATCAAGAGACCCTTTAAGGACTCAGTAAAAAATATCTCAAAACTCAGAATTGATAGGCAATAAGGAGAGTAAACGATCTTTATACTTATTGTCAATGAAAAGGGTCAAACTCTGTAAAATATTTGAAGAGATTTATTCTGAGCCACATGAGTGACCATGGTCCATGACATAGCCCTCAGGAGGCCCTGAGAACACATGTCCAAGGTAGTTGGGGCGCAGCTTGGTTTTTTACATTTTAGAGAGGCATGAGACATCAATCAAATACATTTAAGAAATACATTGGTTTGGTCCAGAAAGGTGGGACAACTCAAAGCAGGGGGTGGGGTGGGGACTGCTTCCAGGCTATGGGTAAATTTAAACATTTTCTGTTTGACAATTGGTTGAGCTTATCTAAAGACCTGGGATGACAGAAAGGAAGTGTTCAGGTTAAGATAAAAGACTGTGGAGACCAAGGTTCTTTTGAGGTCTTATAGTGGCTGCTCTTAGAGACAATAGATGACAAGGGTTTCCTATTCAGATCTTTAAAAGGTGCAGACTTAGTTAATCTCTTTAGGCTTGGGAGGGCCAGGAAGAAAAAAAACTAGCTATGTTAGTAGAGATTCTTTACAGATGCTGATTTTCCTCCACAAAAGACAGCTTTGCAGGGCCATTTCAAGACATGGCAAAGAAACATGTTTTGGGGTAAAATATTTTGATTTTCTTCCTTGTCTTGTAATGTTATGCCAGAGTCAGGTTGGAAAGTAAGTCACAATATATAGAGTTAAATAAAACCCATCTGATGAGAATTTATGATTTGTAGGGCATGACTCCCCAGACCCTTTATATAGGAATTTGGGCAAGATAAAAAAAAAATCAGTTTGGTCCTCATTATAAATCAACATTTAATTAAAAGAACTACACATTACAAGACCATAATAATTGTTCCTGTTTCAAAAGTTTGTTGAGAAAATGAGTTAATATGCATAAAGCTCTTTGAGTAGTGTCTGGCACATAGGAAGCACCCAATACATGGCAACAGTTACTATTATTATTATTATTATTTATATAATCAGGTCTTTCCTTCATATTTTCTTCTGTCAGAGAGTGTTTGAGTGTCATGCTATTCAGAGATTTTACTGTCTGCGTTGACTAGTCCACACCATGACAATCAATGATATCCTATGCCAGGTCTGATTTTTAAAGGATTTTACATTCCAAATCGGTTCTGAGGTAGCAAATCCCAAATATGGCAAAAAATTCTACTTTGGAATCTTTATTTAACCTCAAATATTCTATTTCCACATGTTATATTACAGATGAGAGAAAAAATATTTACCTTTTCTACTTATGGCATTGTTTATTGAAGGCAGTGCTTAAGGACTATAGGTTTTGTAAGCTGTTTTTCACATCCTATATATGTTCTGGGTCATCTTCAGATTGGATTTTGAAGATCTCTTCTATGTTTGTAGATCACTGACCTTCCAAGAAATGACCTCAAAGAAACCTGTTGATCAAGCAAAACTAAGCTTAGTAGATCTACTTCAGTAAGAAAGATCACAGTAGTGTCTCAAATGGGGAAAAAAATAACAGTACACTCAGTTTAACTTTTTTCTTCTTCTTTGGAAGTGTTTGACTGGTTATCTGGATCAGATATATGCCTAGAGTAGGCACATAGTGACAGAAAAATACTTTGCAAGACAAACAGGAAAAAAAAGAGAGAAAGGAAGGGAAACAAGTGAGGGGGAGCCAGCTTCTGACAGACACAAAATCACTGTGGGATGATAAAACAGCCTTAAATATAAGAAATCCATTACATACATAGACACGCACATGCATAGAAAGCCACACAAAATAATACTTACAACAAGATTAAGCAGTAATTTGAGCACTAATCAATTACATGAAGAAACAGTTCAACCATCATGTTTCCAAGATAGAGTTCCCCAAAAGGGACACTAATTTAAATTGTACCTGGTAGGATTATGCCAGTTGGAGACATACACACATAAGTTAAACTTAAAAGTAAGCAGGAATTTGACCTGAAAGGTCAAAAGAACTGATAAGAGCACATGAAAATTTTGCTGGGGCAACCTCTTAAGAACCTGGTTTAAGACCAGGTTGAGCATGGTGAAACCCTGTCTCTCCTAAAATACAAAAATTAGCTGGGCATGGTGGCATGTGCCTGTAATCACAGCTACTTGGGAGGCTGAGGCAGGGGAATCACTTGAACTCGGGAGGCGGAGGTTGCAGTGAGCTGAGATCGTGCCACTGCACTCCAGCCTGGGGACAGAGCAAGACTCCGTCTCAAAAAAAAAAAAGACCAGGTTGGGGGCCTGACAAACCCTCTACCTCCAAGCAAAATAAAACTAAGTGGAACAAATGAAGACAAGATTGAGAAAGGTTTTGAAAAGGTAATCAAAGTAATTTGTCTAAAGGACATCAAGAACTTCTGAACTCCTGAGTCTTTAGAACTATACCTCTTAGTGACTCAGAGAGTGACAAAAACAAACAGTAGTGTCCTAAGTAACAGAGCAGGTTTCTCATCACGGATAAGTGGATTTGAAGTTGATTAAATAATCAAAGGATTACTTAAAAAGCATTCTCATTCCTAAGAGGCAGAAACTTTGTATTTGAGAGACTGACAAAAATAAATTTAGACCCAAAGCAGGATTTTCCTCACTTTTGCAGTCAGACAGACCCCTGAATGGGGGAGACTTATGAGGCCTCAGAGAAACATGTTTCAGACAGAGGAGCTCGTGCAGATCGGTTTCAATTCACCCCGTGTTATAGCTCTACAATTTTTTCACTGTTGATGCCACAAAAGACCAGAATGAAAAAAATCTGTTGATTGAACAAAGCTAGGTATGTTAGATCCCATGCAATAAAAAAAGAACACTACATTAACAAAGTTTCTGTAAGTCTCTAAATGGGAAAATTAAGGGAAGATATTTTGTAAGATGTTAAAATCCAGGCTGGGTTAGTTAAAGAGAGGTATTGCAAGGTTGAGAATAGGCAGGGATTAGGCAGATTTTATGACATTGTAGCTTCGTACAGCAAGGTTAGAGTTTGTGATTTCAGGGTTCTGAAATGAAGCATATTTTTCTTGTTTATGTCTTTTCTTTTTAATCTGGATATAAGTAAGATTTTGTAGCTTTACAGCGGATTTTACAAAGAGATGAGGACCAAGAAGGATTACAGTAGAAGGATTTTGACTTTTGAATCAATATGCATTTAGATGTCGTTTTTATAAGGCACATAAGTTATTTTTAGAATCAGTTAAACCTTGGAGATATTTTTATTTGAAAAGGCAAAAAACAAATGATAATATTTATTTTGCTTCATCACATATTTATTTGAAAGTATATTCATAAACAAACTTACAGTGTTTTTGTGTGTGCAACTGATCATGTAATTATTTCTTGCTCTTTAACTATGTCAATTAATATAAAAGAAAATACTACTCCAGATGGTTGAACTGATTCAGCCTGCTTTTATCAGAAAAGTATTTATTCATATCCAAATGAGGTTGAACTCTTATGATTCCCTTCTTAATTACAAATAGAAGCTAATTGCCACCTCAAAAATATAGAGAAGAAAACAAACATTTTCATTATTTGATACTTATCATATCATAGTAAGATTTTTTTTCTGTTTTGGTTTATATTTTCATATTGAACAAATAATCCTTGTGTAAACTATCTACACTTTTTAATTTTTGGCATTGCTGTGTAACGTATTTAGTTCCTGTAAACCCACAACGGAAAAACACTGCTCTTCTCTGGAGAACTTTGCTGCCCTTCTCTCAGCTTGGAAATAGATCTCCAAATTTCTTCCCATTCCTTAGTCATCTCTCCTTCGAGGTCATTTATTTGACATTAGGTCCATTCTCTGTTCACATCCTATCCTCCAAGCACTTTGAAACAATCTCCAGCCATTGGTCGTCACTCAGCCCCATGAAAGATGAGCACTTCTGATGAGTTTTTACCATTGTCCTTTAATCATACCAAAGGGGCCCCTCAGTTCCTTCCCAGTGATCACCACATCCTCACCTATATGTCATCGGAACCTTTTAAATAAGATTACCTAATAATGAAAAAAATGCATTTCTAATTTTTTAGCTCCTAAGAAACATTGTGTTGTCAAACTATTATATAAACAATTGTCTCAATTAGATTAAAATCCAAGAATTAGAGACTGTTGCAGGAAGTCAGGGACCCCGAATGGAGGGACTGGCTGGAACTGTGGCAGAGGAACATAAATCATGATAATTTCATGGACGTTTATCAGTTCCCAAATAATACTTTTATAATTTCTTATGCCTGTCTTTAATCTCTTAATCCTGTTATCTTCGTAAGCTGAGGATGTATGTCACCTCAGGACCACTGTGATAATTATGTTAACTGTACAAATTGATTGTAAAACGTGTGTTTGAACAATATGAAATCAGTGAACCTTGAAAAAGAAGAGAATAACAGCGATTTTTAGGGAACAAGGAAAGACAACCATAAGGTGTGACTGCCTGCGGGGTCGGGCAAAAAGAGCCATATTTTTCTTGTTGCAGAGAGCCTATAAATGGATATGCAAGTAGGAGAGATATCACTAAATTCTTTTCCTAGCAAGGAATATTAATATTAATACCCTGGGAAAGGAATGCATTCCTGGGGGGAGGTCTATAAACGGCCGCTCTGGGAATGTCTGTCTTATGCATTTGAGATAAGGACTGAGATAAGCCCTGGTCTCCTGCAGTACCCTTAGGCTTACTAGGGTTGGGAAACTCTGCCCTGGTAATTTTGTGGTCAGATCGGTTCTCTGCACTTGAACCCTGTTTTCTGTTGTTTAAAATGTTTATCCAGACAATATATGCACCACTGAACATAGCCCTTTATCAGTAGTTCTGCTTTGCCCTTTGCTTTGTGATTTTTGTTGGACCCTTATCGGTAGTTCTGCTTTTTGCCCTTTGAAGCATGTGATATTTGTACCTACTCCGTGTGCTTACACTGCCTCCCCTTTTCAAACCCTTAATAAAAACTTGCTGGTTTTGAGGCTCAGGTGGGCATCACGGTCCTACCGATATGTGATGTCACCCCTGGCAGCCCAGCTGTAAAATTCCTCTCTTTGTACTATCTCTCTTTATTTCCCAGCTGGCCAACACTTATGGAAAATAGACAGAACCTATGTTGAAATATTGGGGGTGGGTTCCCCCAGTAAGAGACTTTCAGTCTTATACAAGTCATAGTTGTGTTCAAAATAATAGCTTTAAGTAGAATTGCTACTATACACTACATTTGTCTGCTCAAGCTGCTATAACAAATTACCACCAAGTAGGTGACTTTAACAGCATCATTTTAATTTTTCACAGTTCTGGAGGCTAGAAATCTTTTATGCCAGCTCAAAATCAGCAGGTTTAGTTTCTCCTCAAGCCTCCCTTCTTGGCTTGCAGATGACCACCTTCTTGCTGTGTTCTCACATGCTCTTTACTCTGCTTATCCCTGGTGTCCCTTTGTGTGTCTAAATTTCCTAATAAGGGCAATAATCAGATAGGATTAGAGCCCAGCCTAACAGCCTCATTTTATTTTTCTTTTTGGTATAAATTCATGTGGTACAGGTGTAATTTTGTTACATGCATAGATTGTGTGGTGGTGAAGTCAGGGCTTTTAGGGTATCCTTCACCTGAATAATATACATTGTACCCATTAAGTAATTTCTCATCATCCACCTACCTCCTACCCTCTTACCCTTCTGA
Organism: Homo sapiens; assembly: GCF_000001405.40. Taxonomy (NCBI): domain Eukaryota; kingdom Metazoa; phylum Chordata; class Mammalia; order Primates; family Hominidae; genus Homo; species Homo sapiens. Next base: position 91,105,071 of record NC_000004.12, read on the forward strand.
ATCTCCATTGTCTATCATTTCACTCTTTACCTTCATATAGAGTTTAGCTCCCACTTATATGATAGAACATGAAGTATTTCTTTTCTGTGTCAGATAATTATCCTTCAAAAGCCTTATCCCCAAATATAACCACATTAGGAGGTCCTGGGGGATAGGGCTTTACCGTATAAATTAGGGGAGGACATAACATACACTACAAGTAATATGACTACATCATCTGTTTCCCTCAAAAAAAGGGCTTCCTCTTTGCCCTCTGCTATTTACCCAAGAGCTTCTTGTTCTCTTCAATAACTTTGAAACTTGATCACATTCAAATTCCAACCACTAACAGTAAACAAAAAAAAAAAAAAATAGGCCAGGCACAGTGGCTCATGCCTGTAATCCCAGCACTTTGGGAGGCAGAGGTGGGCGGATCACAAGGTCAGGAGTTTGAGACCAGCCTAGCCAATATGGTGAAACCCCATCTCTACTAAAAATATAAACATTAGCCAGGTGTGGTGGTGGATGCCTATAGTCCCAGCTACTCAGGAGGCAGAGGCAGGGGAATCGCTTGAACCTGGGAGGAGGAAGTTGCAGTGAGATGAGATCACACCACTACACTCCAGCCTGGGTGACAGAGTGAGAATCCATCTCAAAAAAATAAATAAAAATAACAAAATAAAAATAAAATAACCCTTGTAAACAGTTCCCTGTCTGCAATTATGATATTCCAAGTGCTCTGAAAACTGGTTTATTTTTTCCTCAAAGGGAGGCTCAAGCTAGTTTGATGGTAAAAACCTGTCCTAAACTAAAAGACCTACTTACGGTTTTTGTTTTTTTTTCACTTCACATGAACATTTATATGTTTTGCTGCAGAAACATCAAAGTGTTTTGTACAGCCTGCTGCTCCAAACCTTACTGGGGATATTTTTAAAATGTGGTAAATGCTCTGTATTATTATCTGATAATCAAAGTAATTCTGAATTACCAGATACATTTGACCTTCAGAATGTTAGATAAGGAATTGTAGGACTGTGGCAAGATACATTTCACTCTGAACACTAGAAAAACAGGGTCCTGTCTCTTCGCCATAAAAAATGAGTTAGCATTTACTATGTGCTTATCATGGGCCAGGTGTTGTTGTAAGCACTTTACACATATTCAATCATTTAATTCTCCAGTAAACTTTAGAAATAGTCACGATTATTCTCATTTTAATACAGAAGAAATGAAATCAGAAAGTGTTTGAATAACTTTCCCGAAGTCATAGTTAGTAAGCCCAGGAAGCCAGAATTCAAAGCTAGAAAATATGTCTCCAGTGTAAAACTTAAACAATACACTATGACTTATAAGGAGAGAAATTAATAGACATACCACAACTGAATAATTCTGGACTAATGGCATTCCTTGAGAGCATTAACTAATCTCCACTTAACTAAACACTTCTATTCTCTCTCCCTCTTTTTCTACTCTTTCCCATGGTCTGTCTATCTTGCCTACCTATTCATTGCCTATAGGTGTTATCTCATCCAAGACATGACTATAACTACTATTTTGATGTGCTTTGGAATTGTTGGATTACAAAGAATAGAAACTTATGTGTCAGGTGCATCCATTTGGTCTTGGTCTCTGTCTTTTGGAAAATGGACAGTTATTTATTCTATTTCTCTTTTCTCAAATTCCACACCACTGTACTCTGTGCAAGCTAGATAGCCTCTTTACTTTTTTTGTTTGTACTTTGTCCTCCATGATAACCTCCAAATGATGGTATCAGCTATCTACTCTATAGATGAATTATAACTTCTAATTATTGACAATGTGGTATAATTTTCCCAGGTTCAGCTACATGATTCAATCAAATATAGCCGTGTGCCACAGAATGACATTTTGCCCAAGGATAGACTGCATAGATGACAGTGGTTTCATAAGACTGTAATGGGGCTACCCTATACTGGTGTATTTTTTTTATCTTTGATAACATATTTTCACTGTAGCTTTTCTCTGTTTAGATATGCTTAGATACACAAATATTTAACACTGTGTTACAGTTGTCTACAGTATTGAGTCTAATAACATGCTGTACATGTTTGTAGCCTGAGAACAATAGGCTATACCGCATAGCCTAGGTGTATAGTAGCCTATGCCATCTAGGTTTGTGTAAGTCGAATCTTTGATGTTCACACAATAATAAAATCACCTGACAATGCATTTCTTTTTTCATTTGAGACAGAGCCCCGCTCTGTCACCCAGGCTGGAGTGCAGTGGCGTGATCTTGGCTCACTGCAACCTCCACCTCCCAGGTTCAAGTGATTCTCCTGCCTCAGCCTCCTGAGTATCTGGGACTGCAGGCGCATGCTACCACGCCTGGCTAATTTTTTTGTATTTTTAGTAGAGATGGGGTTTCACCATGTGAGTCAGGATGGTCTGAATCTCCTGACCTCGTGATCCACCCGCCTTGGCCTCCCATAGTGCTGGGATTACAGGCATCAATGCATTTCTTAGAATGTATTCCCTTGGTTAAGCAATGCATGATGGTAATTATGCTTTAGTAACAGGAATTTGTTTAAGAAAAAGGCATTTTCTTTTTCTCTTTTTTTTTTTTTTTTTGATGTTTGAAAAGAAGAAAAAATTCGAATGATAAAAGCACCATTTAGCCTATCTTTTACATTTACCACCAGTAATATAATAGAAGATTCTCATGATCTGGAAATATTGTGTGTGGGAAAGACATTAAGGCACTGTGGTTAGGGAAGTTATGTCAGTAATAGCCCTTCTAGAATTAAGGTTGGGCAGTGCTGGGCTACCATTTCCATTTTCTTTTGTTATTTTTTGATCAGTAGGGATTGAGTGAGGAAAATAAGAAATTTGCCTGAAACAAGCAGTTTGTAGACTCTATCAGCTTTTCCTTTTGATTTTCTCTTGATTTCTGCCATACCGATGTCCTGACCATCATTGAAAAGTTAGCTTCTCAGTTATCCAAGTAGACATCCAAGTCTATTTCAGTGAAGTGAGGTGAAAGTCTTATCTTTCATTGATTAAAAGCAACTAACCCTATGAAGAGAGACAAATGTTAACAATATAGTAAATTAAAACAGTTCTCTATATATTACTGATCCAATGTATATCTAATCCATTGTATTTCTTAAATCAAATCATTGCCAATATGTGATTCCTGATTGTGGCCTGTAAATCTCTTTTGTAAGCTATAGAGACAGGGATCAGATAATATTCTGCAAATGAAAATTCACAATATATTTGCTTGTCCATTTCTATATGGCATTGGGGTAGATAGTCACAAATAGAACTTTGAAGAGTATCCTCTAAAATGGTTGAGAGAAAATATATGGCTTATTCGAATTTGTATTTTTATTTGTAATTACTCAGAATGTTAGATTAAAAATGAGCAAGTTAATGAAATACAGCAATTTTAACTCATCTGCCTATTAACTGATACCATTGTCAAACCAAATCATAAGTGTTCTCCTATGCTTTATATAAAAATAAATTGAAATGCAGATTTACTTTATACTCTGACGTATAGTACTTAAAAAATTTAACATATTTGTTGAAACACAAGCAGTCAATTTTAAGGTTCTGTGCATACTGTATACAACCTGTTAGCCTCTTTTTTATCAAAAATAGACAAGTGTTTCTTTATTCATTTCTTGCTTCCAATGGTGGCCTATCAAAACTGTTGCTTTCTCCTCTGACAAGTTATATTTAGTAACTGTGATGGTTAATTTTAGGTGTCAACTTGACTAGATCAAGGAATACGAAGATAGCTGGTAAAGTATTATTTTTGGGTATGTCTGCGAGGGTGTTTCTAGAGAAGATTGGCATTTGAATCAGTAGACTGAATAAGGAAGATCTGCCCTCACCCAGTGTGGGTGGGCACCATCAAATCAGCTGAGGACTCAGATAGAATGAAAAGGCAGAAGAAAGGCAGATTTGCTTTCTCTGTTCCGGAGCTGGGGCACCCTTCTTCTCTTGCCTTGGACATCAGAACTCCAGATTCTCTGGCCCTTGGACTCTGACTTGTAGCAACACCCCCACCCCATTCTTAGGCATTTAGCCTTGGACTGAGAGTTACAGCATCCATTTCCCTAGTCCTGAGGCCTTTGGACTAGGACTGAGCCATACTATTGGCTTCCCTTATTCTCCAGGTCACAGACAGACTAGCAAGGGTCTTCTCAAGCTCGATGATTTCTTCAGCTAGTTCCCCTAATATATCCCCTCTCATCTATCTATCTATTGATTGATGTATCAATCTATCATGTATCTACCTACCTACCTTTCTACCTACCCACCACCTTATCTAACCTGTCTCCTAAATGTTCTATCTCTCCAGAGAAACCTAACTAATACAGTAACTTATTAGCCCTAGTATATTTTCTGGAAGCAAAGGTCCCAAAGATTATTGAGGGTAGGTAGTCCTAAGTTAAAAAAAAAAAGTGTCAAAAGTGTAGAGAGATCAAAAGCATTAAGTAAAGCAAATTATCTTCCAATTTTGCCTTGAAAAGAATATGACTTTTTTAATGAATGACTTTTGATGGAATAAAACAGGTGATAGTCATGTTGAAAATAATAGTTCAAGAGTTGGCAACAAGAAAATGAATGTGAAAAGTGTATTTAAGAATATGGCAAATAAAGGAATTTAAAACAACTAGATGCTACCTGGAGAATATAGTAACTTCAATATTCATTTCAGAGTAATTCATAAATGTTTTAATGTAGAACTCCAGTCAAATAAAACTGCTAAGATTTAGGCATTAATGGAGCCCATGGTTTCACAAAGGGTCATAAAATAATTTATTAGAATTTTGTATATGTTGTATTGTTTTTCAGACAAAGACATCTATGACACAAAAATTCATTAAATTATCTCAAAACCAAAGAATGATTATATAATAGAAGGCAGGATAGTATATTAAACTTTTTATATAGCACGTATTTTGGAGCTTCTTATACAAGTTCTGCCCTTTGCTTAGATTAAAACTAAGCAAATTAAAGAAATTTAGCAATTTTAACTCATCTACCTGTTATCTGACACCATTGCCAAACCATATCATCAGTGTTGTCCTATGCTTGGTTATGTAAAAACTTAGTGAAATGTAGATTTACTTTATATTCTAGAAAAATGGAATTTAAAAAAAAATTAACACATTTGTTGAGACACATGGAGTCAGTGAGCAATGTGATGTTGAACAAGTTGCCTATCTTTTCATATTTCAGTTGTTTCTTCACTAGGAAAAAAATAAACTTAGTGCTTGCTCCTTATAGGATTGTTATGAATAGATAAAATAAAATTGCCTATAAAAATGATGACCTCAATATCTGGTACCAATAAAAATACTCACTAGGAAAGTTTTAAATACTGTTGTTTCTGTTACTTCACTTTGAATTAATAAGACAGTAGACATTCTACTCACTAAGTGTAAAGCCACTTACTCAACACCACATCCCACACTGAATAGTGGCCTATTCACGGAGAAACTTCTCAGGAATTACTAGTTGCAAAAATAGTACTTGACACTTATTTCTGTAATATTGTGCTTATCACATTGTACTGTGACTTTTTGTTTATCTCTGTCAGTCTGTCAAATAGACTATGAGTTCCTAGAGAACAATGTTTTATTCAACTTATATTCATAAAACCTAGTATGGCTTCTAATATGTAGTAAGTACCCAATAAATGTTTGTTGAGTTGAATGTTGTTTCTTCTTTAAGATCATTAAGAGTTGGGTTTACAGCAAATGATACTGGTTTCTTTCTGCATACATAGATCATTCATTCTTCTTTTTTTTCCTTTTGCCTTTCATATATTATATTTTGGGGTCATTTAGAAATAAATAGAGCAGTAAAAGTTGGTAAGTATATTTAATTTAATTTCTTCCCATAATATCCTACTTAAATATATAGATGATGATAATAGTTGGCACTTCTTAGGTGTATTTGAGTTATTAAAATTAAAATTTGATATAGTGAGAAAAATAAGTATATAGCCTGATTTTATGGGAACCATTTTTAAATGTGGTTGAATTTTTTTTAATTTGACAAGTTTCATAATTTTAAAGCTGGTGATTCAAGTGAATTTTAAAGCATGTTTATGCTGTTGCATTATGGGGCAAACTCAGCTGGTTAAATTACCCGTTATCCTTTGTCAAAATTAAATTATACAAGGTCTGCAGACACTCATCACTTTTATCTAATGTGACCACCTTGAACTGTAATTCCCTTTTGAATAAATAAGGCTGATTCAGGTGGAAAGAAGATTAACTGATTGCCTGAAGTTATGTAATGCATGTGGATTTAGTACATAGGTTTTAAAATGACATTGTTAAATGGTATTTAAACTAATGTGTAATAATTAAGGAAGGACACTCTTTAAAATGACACAAAAGTGATATATGAATATGAGGACCAAGAAACTGTGCATTGGCATATAGAAAATATTAGTCATTGGACAATACAATTAATTGATAGAACAAGTATTTTTCATAATTTCTGCTAACATAGGAGGTGACATAAAAGGGAGTAATTTGAATTTTAAAAATAAAATAAAGATTGTATATATTTTAGGAGGTCATAAATTTGTAGGTATTAAGTAGCATGAATAACTCTTCTTTTCCATCCTGAAAACTCTACCAATGTAGAGTTAATACTCTATAATTCATGAGGTAGTCTGTAATAATAAAACATTAAACCAACTGGGCTCTTTTCCCGGGAATCACTGAAGCAAGAAATACTGTATCAGGAGAAAGGAAAAGAGAAAAAGAGAGAAAGAAGAAGACAATAAAACAGAAAAAAAAAAAAAAGGAAAGAAAACTAGATGGCCAAATTTAATAGGGTAAATGGAAAAGCTGTCCATTTTATATGCAGTCAAATAAAATTTTCTTTCTAACCTTGGAAGGGCTACTCTTAAAGCATAAACCAGTTTTATGTTATGAAAGGACATTCAAATATGCCTTATTTCATGTAACTGTGGGGAAAGCACTTTATAGCTCTGCCTTTAAACCTTAAAGTCAGCTTTAACGTGTTTCTAAAAGTTATATTCCGGTATTGCTGAGATATTCCTATCACAAAGCTATTTCCAAAGCCATGTTTGTGGTCTAAGCATGTATCTGTAACTTACTAAGAGATCGTCCTGAAAAATTGAGGACAAGTCCAGTTTTTATTTTTGCTCATTGAATAATGACGTTTCCTAAAGATCTTTGTCTTGTAGGCCTTCCTTTTTTGACACTTTTTTTTCTTTTTCTGAGTAATCTCATACCTTAAGTGATTATAAAGTTTGACTGTGTTCTGACGGTTCTTAAGTTTTTATCTAATACAGCTTTATCTCCAGACCTATGTATTTATTTACTTGTTGGATATTTTGACCTAACTATTCTGTAAGTTTTAAAAATTTGTACAGAGACAGTGAATTGATAATCTTTATTATCTTTGTTCTTTCCTCCTTCATACACAAGTTCTTTCTGCTTAGTTTTCTATTTCATTTAATGTATTACTACTTAAGGGTCACTCATTGCAGAAAACATTGAATCAACCATACTTCTTTCTCTCTTATACTCCCTGTTCTCAAGGTCATTATGCAGTCTCTACTTCAATCTCAGTTTTATTTCTTCCTGTTTATCTCAATTCGTGTTGAATGAGTTTGTGTCTTCATCATCTCTGAAGGAAATTATGATCATAACTTCTTAATTGTTTCTCCATCCTCTGTCCTCTTCCATCTTCAGCCTCTCTTCTATATTGTTATTGGAATATAATTACAAGACATTTTCATGGAAGAATATTACTACCTTCCCATCACACAAAGATAAGGGCTAAACTTCATCAACTGAGACTTTAGCAAAGAGGCCTTAACTTACCATTTTAGAAATATCCAAATTTTCTCATCTCTTCTTCAGCTAAGACGTAATGAGGGAATTTTAGTTTTTCTTTAAGACCCAGTACAAATGGCATCTCATTCAGCAGAAGAAGTTACCTATTCTGTGGCATATTTGCACTTGTTATAGCTGCGGCTATAGAAATTATTACATTTTTAAATATTAATTGCCTTACATGTGTCTGTTTTACTAAATCAAGAGATCTTCTAGGGTAGGGATTGTGTCTTTTATATCTTTACAATCTTCAGAACCTGATTTAAGAGACTTAAGTACAGGAAGTGTTTATTAAACATTTGTTGATACAACAAACGCATGACATTGTGTTGGGAGGCTCTGAGTTGCAAGGGAGACCTTCTTGAGATTTGCAGGAATTACCACTAGATGTCACTAGCACATTTCTGATAGCAATTTCTCAATCAAGAACAACTAACCTTTACTGAGGACCTACTGTGTGCCAAGACTTTTTAAATAATTCTGCAAAGCAGGTATTATCATCACAAATCCACCCTGGAGACTTACGTTTTGAGTGATTAGTAGGTCATACAGCTAGTATGATGTAGAGGTGGGATTTAAATTTCTGCCATCAAGCCCGTGGTTTTCCCACAATCCAAGCTACATTCTGTTTCTTTTGTGATAACTGAGCCTCTGGCCTCCGTATGATAAATAGCATATGCTACCTTTCCCAATGGATTAAATCTTTATTGACAAAATAAGCTATTATTGAGCTATCTAGGCACTCACACATACCCTTTGAGTTAAGAGTCAGTGACTTTGTTTCTATAAGCTTTTACTAAACATAAAGCAATTTATCATTCATAGAAATCTTTTAAACATATAAATATAGATTTTGAAAAGGAGCAGATAGATTTTTATTCTCAGTTATTTATGTTTTTTGCAATTTAGCATTTGATATCTACATTTTTTTTTTTTTCTTTTTTGATACGGAGTCTCGCTCTGTCGCTCAGGCTGGAGTGCAGTGGCGCGATCTCGGCTCACTGCAAGCTCCGCCTCCTGAGTTCACGCCGTTCTCCTGCCTCAGCCTCCCGAGTAGTTGGGACCACAGGCGCCCACTACCACGCCCGGCTAATTTTTTGTATTTTTAGTAGAGACGGGGTTTCATCGTGTTAGCCAGGATGGTCTCGATCTCCTGACCTCGTGATCCGCCCGTCTCGGCCTCCCGAAGTGCTGGGATTACAGGCTTGAGCCACCATGCCCAGCCAATAGCTACTATTAAGATAGAGTTGTTAATTAGTGATGGACATATCCATGAAATACAGACACTACCTCCAAGCAGCTTATAAGCTTATGATGTTTCCTTGATTCAAAGTCAAGAAACATCATAATACTCTTACTGTAGGGTGTATTTACTCTGAGACTTTGGAATCCAAAGAGCATCTATAGATACCAATTATGTTGATAATGTGACTTCCATTATCAACACTTGGATCTTAAACACTTAGAAGCACATTCCTAAGTATGCTAAAGGCCCACTATGTTCCTGCCTGCTCAGTCAAGATGTCATCGTATTTTTAGACCTAACTCTGCTTTTGGAGAGTCCCAATAAAGACCCAGAACTTGAGGAGAGGTATCACTGTAGAAACCCTTTCTAATCAGAAGAAAACACTGTCAGAAAGAATGATGAGAGGGTGCTTAGGCCTGAATGCGTGCATTTGAATGGACCTCATCCTGCTTCCTGCTCTTTGCAGTTGGTGGCACAAAAGCAGTTAGCAATTATACAAATGAAAGAAAGATGAGAGGGAGGGAGACGGCTCCCGCTTCTCCTTATATTTTACAGCTTCTCTTCAGTTTAGTCAATTTCAGTATCTCATCAGACTAACCTTTCTGCCAAACTCATTGGTTGTTAGTATTTTTGCTTCTGTTATTGTTAATTATTAAAAGGAGTTAAATCTCATTAACTGATTTAAAATTGTACACTTATATACAACATGATAATTTTCTCCACAGATTTTAAAATGTAAGAAATTAATGTAGTCATGGAAACAGTTTATCTCCTTCTCTTAATATTTTATACATGCCGTGAGTTTTTATTTTATGGGAAATTAAATTATATAAATTGGAAAGTTAGCAAAATAAAAGAATAATATATTTCCAGTTTATTTCAAAAATTAGAAATAGTTTTAACTTCTAATATTAAATATGTATAAATAATAGCATAATGTCAAAGTTGAAGGGCCAATTGAATAATAAATTATGTTATTTCTACAAAGGGATGTCTTTTTAGAAAGTAAGTGAAAATAGTTACCAACTTTGTCAATATTTGCATTGAATTATGAGTTTTCAACTAAGTGAGATCATTAGCAATACATTTCTCAAATAAAATGTACCCAGTTTGTACTCCTGTCTTATCAGAAAAGAACATCAAATCTTTTTTTCTTTCTTTTTTTTCTTTTTGAGATGGAGTCTTGCTCTGTTGCCCAGGCTGGAGTGCAGTGGCCTGATCTCGGCTCACCGCAACCTCCATCTCCCACATTCAAGAGATTTTCCTGCCTCAGACTACCAAGTGGTTGGGACTACAGGTGTGCGCCACCATGCCCGGCTAATTTTTGTATTTTTAGTAGAGATGGAGTTTCACTATGTTGGCCAGGCTGGTCTCCAACTCCTGACCTCGTGATCTGCCCGCCTTGGTCAACTCTTTTTTTATACTGATAAAGACTAGAGAAATGTTCTCTGTTATGTACGCCTTCCATCTTTTGCTTTCTACTTTTGCCTGGCTCAGGGTACATACTAAAAAAAATTTCAATGGAATGTTGAATGCATGAGTAAATAAGTTGGATATATAACGAAAGTTGGAGAAAGATTTGGTAATCACTCAGTGGCTTCCTCCTCTTGCTCCCTGCCTATCCTAGCTTTTTCTTTTTTTTTTTTTTTTTTTCAAATTTCCATTCTTTTATATATATATATATATATTTTTTTTTATTATACTTTAAGTTCTAGGGTACATGTGCACAAAGTGCAGGCTTATTACATATGTATACATGTGCCATCTTGGTGTGCTGCAGCCATTAACTTGTCATTTACATTAGGTATATCTCCTAATGCTATCCCTCCCCCCTGTCCCCACCCCACAACAGGCCCTGGTGTGTGATGTTCTCCTTCCTGTGTCCAAGTGTTCTCATTGTTCAGTTCCCACCTATGAGTGAGAATATGCAGTGTTTGGTTTTTTGCCCTTGCGACAGTTTGCTGAGAATGATTCACAATAGCAAAGACTTGGAACCAACCCAAATGTTCAACAATGATAGACTGGATTAAGAAAATGTGGCACATACACACCATGGAATACTATGCAGCCATAAAAAATGACGAGTTCATGTCCTTTGTAGGGACATGGATGAAGCTGGAAATCCCTGGCTTTTTCTAGTGAGAAACCACCATGGAAAATCCAGGAACTCACAGTGTGCCGCTTGCAAGCTCTGATTTAGTAAAAGAGTAACAGGAGAGCCTAGTGATGAGAGGGCATGCTCTTTGGAACCAGAATGCCCGCGAACAAATCCCTGCTAGGTAATTTACTAGCTCTTGTAATAACAACAGCAAAGAATTAGAAACAGTAATGAGCCTCAGTTTTCTCCTCCTTAAAATGGGAGACAGTTGTGGTATCTACTTCATAGAGTTATTATGAGAATTAAATGGGCCAAAATATGCAAAGCCATTAGAACATACATAACATTTTGTAAATGCTTTGGAGATGGTGGTTGTTGTTGCTGCTGGTGGTGGTGCTACTGCTGTTTTTGTTGTTAAAGAAAATTGCAGTTTAGGAAGGATAGGAATAAACTATCTAACAGGCTGCCTTGTTTGGTCTCCAAGTGATAAACAAAAAACAGGGATCATTTTTTTTACTTCAACCTGCATGAAGAATTAGTTTTACCGAGTGGGAAGTTTGGGAATTATATATTTTTTCTTTCATAATTCTAAGAGGGAAGAATGGGTTTAAAAATTACTTAAATGAGAGACTGGTGATTTTTTAAATGTTCATCATATTTAGTAGGCTACTTTACTAGTCAAATTTTTATATTTGTTTGCTAGAAATAAATTTGCATATAAAGCCTGCTTTTGAGCCTCTCAATGAATCATACCTAAAGAAACCTCCATGCAGGTTTTGAGCCATAAAGAAGGCACCACCTAATGGCAGAATGTTTTAATTGCTAGTACAAAGCTAAACAGAAACAATCAGCCTTTAATGTTAAGCTTGCAAATGGAAATAAAAAGATAGCATTCATTACAGCAACATCCATTTATATATGTAAACCTTGGTTCCATGTAAATGAGCCTTGAGGCTTAGCAGGACTAGAAAACAATTGCAGATTATGAATATGATCATTGAATGTGAGGACCTTCCTGAGACATCATAGTGTTAATACCAGAATCCAGTCTGCCAGGGTTCAAATCTAGACTTTACCTCTTATTAGCTGTTGAGTTGGCCTTAAGCAAGCTATCTAACTTTATGCCACACATTCCTTGTCTGGGACCTATGTCAGGGTTATTGTAGATTAAGTAGCTTATAACATTCTTAGAATAGTATCTGATGTAGAATAAGTACTATGTAAATGCTTATTAAGTGGATGAATAGAATTACTTTATGTACTTCAATTCAATGAAGTTCATAAGAAGAAACCAAAACCATCTTTTAAAAATGTATTAGTGATTTACTGCGTGTTTCAAAGTCAAGGCTTCGAAAGGTACCTCAGTTTTGTACCTTTGCGTTGTAAGGTGTGACTTTATGTTGTCCCAAAAGCCAATGCCATAGGCAGAAAAAAAAATGATTAAGAGCATCAGTTTTGTGGTGTCAACCACACTTTAAAAACCCTGGCTTTGCTACTCAACAGTTACATGACCATAGACATATTCTTATGTTTATATGTTACTTATATTATTTAAACCTATTTTCTTATTTTCATTCATTTGTAAACACTGGAAAATATTATCCCTTACTTTAATCATCCTTTTTTACTTTCTAGCAAATTCACTGTCTTCTTTTCCATTACCCAAGTGACTAAGTGTTGCCATCTTTGATATTTTAAAATATAGGCCCAAAATCTATTGTAAATTGTTTTGTATTAAATAGTTCTAAATTTTATTATGTATTAAACAGCAAAATGCTAACATTATGTATGTCTGGTAAATATTTTATTTTCTTGTTTTTGTTATCCCTGATTCAATATTTTCTTCTAATCGTTGATACTATGTTAAGGAAAGATGCATGCAATTTTATGTAAAATGAGTGCTCTAAAAACAGAAGTACAACTTTGAGAAAATATTAAATAATAATCTAACTCTTTTTCACCTTCTTTGTGGTACTCTCTTTCTGGAAGAAGTAACAACTGTAGTTATGGAGACTTTTTTTTTTTTTTTTTTTGAGACGAGGTCTCGTTCTGTTGCTCAGGCTAGAGTGTAATGGCTCACTACAGCCTCAAGGTCCCGGGCTCAAGCAATCTTCACACGTCAGCCTCCTGAGTACCTAGGACTACAGGTACACACCACTGCACTTGGCTAATTTTTAAATTTTCTGTGGAGACAGGGGCTCACTATGTTGCCCTGGTTGGTCTCTAACTCCTGGGCTCAAGCATTCCTCCTGCCCTGGCCTCCTAACGTGCTGGGATTACAAGAATGAGCCACTGTGCCTGGCTGAGCCTAGTCATGAAGTCTCATTTAGATTGGTTAACTTCATAGGAAATTAAAACACTGAAGAGAAAGTAAGCTTTTATGAATAAACACATATTTTATACATCCCAAAAGAATGCCTTCTGTTTATATGAACAAAAGCTTCATTCCTAATTATACTTCAGTGCTCTTTCTGTCTCTTTTGCATAATATCTAACTTGCAACTTTCTCAATGACATAAGTGTTAGACTGTGTCATTTTGAAAATGGGTACTATGATCAACTCTTACCAGTAGTTTTTGTAGAAGATGTTTCTGTGGTGAAATTTGGGTAAATTGTTCAAATTTAGAAACCTTGATAATATAGCCTCATTTCTTCCACAGGCAGTCTGGGTAAGGAAAATCTGCTTTGGGATTCTCAGTGAATGTGCAAGTTAGTGTTTAAAAGACAACTTAAATTTCCTTCCTTAAAAGAGGTGTGAAGGAGTGAGTTATTGAAGTTGCAATCTGCAGTTTTGATATTCATGTATAAAAAGGGGCAGATGTTCTTTTCTGGTAAATCATTCCCATAATACATTTGCCCTGTATTCAGAGATGCATATGCTTACTGCTAAGTCATGGCAGAGATTTCAGGAAAACATTGATTAAACTCCACTGGTGAGCAAAGGAGAAAAAAGATTAGTCACTTAGAATAGAGTATTATTCTTTCAATCTTCTTTTAGCCTCTCTTCTTTTACAAACTGTGTTTAATTCATACTATTAAGCCTAAAATGAACTGCCATTGTAATGTGTTTTCAGATATGCAAAATTATATATATATAAAATATATCTAGGAATGTTCTTAGGGATTTGATACAGACAAACCCCTGAGAACATTTCTAGACCACATTTTTAACATTTAACTTCACTCATATTTTTAGATTCTCATAACTTCTATATACTGTATATTTCTTTGAGATGTTAAAAAGAAAATAATAGTTAACAGATTCAAAATATGCTTTTATAACCAAAACACAGTTGAGTCAATTTTTTCAAACTGAAGTTAACTGTAGATGTAGTCTGAGAAGTCATTTGTACTGATTAGCTGTGTATAAATAGAAAAAAATTGAAATGTAGGGCTATTTACTATGTATATAAGTATATAGGGAATTAACAGGACTGTCTTCAAAATGAATAGAGATTAGTATATTACTAAGTAGGCATATGACAAGTATGTAGATAGATGAATAGATAATTGAAAAAATTATGCATATATTGTGTAGTGTGCATTTTATATGTATAAATATGTGTGTAAAGCATATTTTTTAAAAGAGAATTCTTATTTTGTATAGGATTTTAAAAAGCAGTTAGGAAGATTTGCCATGGATGGGGACAGTTTGGAAAAGTGGAGGGTTTACAACCCTATGGAGTTTTATAAATTATCTAGTTCTACCTCCATAATTTTAAAGATAATAAAACTGACATGTACAATTGAGTTATATGTGATGACTAAAATAGTTTGATTTTAATATAGAGCTATTAAGCCATAGAGAGTGGGGTATGGAGATTAGAATACTTCGATTGTTTAATAATAATTTGCATAATAGTGATTTGTATATCTCATTTAAGAGTCAATGATCATACCAGTTCCCATTCATTAATTCAATATTAAGTTCTTGAAAAGAGCTCTAAAAGAGTTAAATAAACTTTGAAACATGATACTTAACTAGAATAAAGCATAGTTGGAGCAAAGTGTGGCTGTGGTTTATGGAAGTAATTGCATGAGACAAAGAGACAGAGGTTCTGCTATATAATTACGTGGTCTTATATCAGCATCATGATGATGATGGATACTGAAAGACAATGAGGTCAGAGTTAATATAAAGGATGATTTTCCACCTCTTAGAGATTACTTCAGTATTACTTGAAAGAAAAATCAAAGATTATTGCAAGGTTTTAAGTCTGAGTGGAAGGGCTAACTGTATAAGAATAAGGAATCTCAGAGGAAAGCTAAAACATGGGATGATACTTTAGCTTTAAAGTTTTTTTTGAAAGATTACAGGTTGAGTACTTGTGAAAATTCTTCCTACTTAATTCATGAGAGGAATCTATGTCATGAGGCGTAAAAATTTGAGGGATTATTCTGGGAAGTCATCTACAGACAGAGGGTAGTTGAATCCAGGAGGGAAAATTATCTTCAAGGTGTAGAGAAAATGGGCCAGATTACTTTGGCTGGGGCCTGGGCTATGTTTATAAGTCCGAGGTGATCAAGAAGAGGAATCTGAGATGGAGGTAGAAAAATGATATCCAGAAACTAACAAAATAAAACCAGGAAAATCAGGGGATGTGTTTCAAGAAAGAGGGGATGACAAGTTGTCTTACAAAGGAGTGAATGAGTACTTCAAAAACACCTGCTCTTTTTCATATTCTAGATAAACACCTCTCTTCTCTCTCCCTCCTGCTTTCTATTCTGATTTGGAAAAGGGTCATATAGAAATGGATGTTTAATAAAAAACATTTTGACAGTTTCAATTGGAAAATTTAGGCTTTCTTGAGTAAATTCTTTATATATGTTACATAAACTGTTTGCTGACATCTTTTTTTTTTTCTCATGTGGGGATTTTAAATATTCATCCCTCCCCTGCTCCCCATTGGAGATTTATATTGTCGTTGAACTCAGTCATATAAAGTATTTCTTGTAACATTTTCCTTCTCTTACCAATTTAATTATTAGTTTCATAATGGCAAAATAATAATGAAAAATGATTTATTTTTGTCCCTGATTCACAGTTTTGAATATTAATAATACTGTTAGTATACTTCAAGAGATTTGTCAAAGTTCTGACACTTACTGCAGTTTACCATTAAGAATCTATCTACTGTGTAAGGAAAAGAAGTTGTCTAAGAGGAAACTGTTCCTATTTTCTGTTCTTTATAGTAGAAGTGTATGGCCGTTAATTAGTGATATCATTGTAAAGAAAAATTACATTGAGGTAATGCCCAATGTAAATAAAGTGAAAAATTTTACTTCAGTATGTGCTATGTTGTTGTTAATTGAATAACATATCTCTTCCAGGTTTTTCAAATATGCACTATTAACTTAGTATCTAATCATAAATATGTATTTTGGGCCAAAATATTATTTATTTTTGACTTTTAGATAAATCTATACCAAGAAATAATTTTTTAAAATGTAATACTTTCCTTTAAAAAGAAAGTATTATAAAATAGTTAATGTATGCTAGCACTATAGTTATCATTTATTTATTGAGAAACTTTTGGTTATAGTGTCTACCCCACCTAAAATAATTTCTACTTAATTTCTTTTGACATCCATAATTTCTATAGAAATATAGATAAATATTGATAAATTATCTATGGATGTCAAAAGAAATTAAGTAGAAATTATATATGTGTCACTCCATTTTAACATATAAAAAGTCATTTTGGGCAGAAGATTCTGACTTATTTCAGAATGAATGAAGAAGAAATTACTTTTGTGATTTGTTTCTCCTCCAAAAATAATTTTGAAGTTATTTGGTGACATTTTTGAAATATCCAGCTTTGGTACCTGACATGGAATATGGATTCTAAGGGACTAAGCTTGACTCAGGAAAAGATGCTTGTCTTTAAAAGTTATTTTAACAAGTGATCCCTGATTGGTCAAGATTTGCATTAAAAAATCAACAGTAAATAGTGATGGTTCCTTGATACTATCAATTATTCTTAGCCTACTATCTATTAACTTTGTAGACTCGTAGATACAGAAATAATTCTTGGTCAAACCTAAGATAATTTACTATTGATACTCATTTGTTGAGCTTAATAGTCAATAATTCTTTGAAAGTATATCATTCATTACTCATGTATAACATGTTTCAGCAACTTGACATTTTTTTTCTGACCCTTCCACATATTTTGTTGCCTCAGTAATATACAACCTGAAAAACTATATGCAAATATCAAACATGTTTTCCCTTCAACATGATTCTCCCGCAAAATCCTATTTTTAAAATGATGCAAACAACCAAAACTAGAAAAAGGAAAAACCTATTAAATACTGATCCAAGGCAAACAATAACCCCAACTCATCACTATAAATATAGATCATATTCCGTTGGAAGTGTTTTTTGCTTTATCATTCCAAAGATATACTAGCACATTGAACTCATTATGAAGAAGGTCAAAAACAAAGAATACTTTTTCTAATGCCTGCCCTTGACTTAGCATGTTAGGAAAATGAGCCTATACAAAAGGGATGAGGAGCTGATCACAATGCCTACCTCTCCTGAAGGCATACAACCACCAAATACAAGAGTGGACATGTGAATAAACAAATTTCATCTTGAAGGAAGACGGTGTTAATTAACATCTTACAATGTATAATTTTCTGAATCAATTCTATTGCATTACTTCAAATGATTTTATTTAAATGTGAGCAGAAAATTCAGGGGACCTAACCAAATTTTCATATAGGGCAGAATACTATTTCATTGAATAAATATTAGGGGAACAGTGGGATAAAAATAGAGTTGGGCCTTTATTATGCTGCAATCATGCTTGTTCAATGATACCTTTTTTAAAGAAAGTGTATTTCATCTCAGCTATTTTATTATATCTGTTCCAAGGAGCATACCCATGAAGTTTATTAACAAATTGATTTTCTTTCAAATAGCATAGTTTTCATTTAATCTTTCTCATTTTGTCTCATTATTTGCAGTTCGATTAGTCAGATTCATTATAGCACTGTAACTTAGAAACATGTTTCATTCAAAGAAAAGCTTATGATAAGAAATACAAAAGAATCAGTAAAATATTTACCCAAATAGTCTACTTTTTTTCCATTCTAAGTGCTTTTCAGGGAATGAGAAAATTAGTGTAGTAGTTTCTAATATAGGAAATTATTTAATATTAAAAAAGATAGTCATCTTTGTATTTAATTGATTAAGATACTTAAAGGCTCCATGTTATAGCTGCTAAAGCATGGGGTCAGGAAACCTAAGCCTTAACTCAAAAGTCTGGAATTACAAAACATGACGAAATATTTCTCCATTTTGTAAATTCTGACTTTGATTCTGGGCAAATTGCTTAACCTCTCAGTGATGGTGGTTTCTTATCACTTACCGCATTTGTGTGAATAGAGACTTTCTTTTAGAACAACTATGTGATACCCATAATTCTAATTCTTTACACTTGGTTTTGCATTAGTTGAAGGGAGTTTAAGTTCAGTATTTAATTTTGTCACTATAACAATTTACAAGAAAAAGAATAATTTTTTTCTGTATGTAACTGAGACAGATTTATATATTTATGAAATTGAAGTTGGTGTTTTGGAGCTAACAATGATATAGTGTCATCCTAATTTAATTAAACCTAGTACTAGTCTGCTGGCATTCTATCAGTATTTTCTGCCATCCATTCTTTTGTTTATCTAATTATATGTCATTATTAAGAGCTCATATCCACTGTGAGCAGGACACACTAGCACAAATTAAGTTCAGTGATAGAATTGCCTTATATGATTGTATGTTTTTTATGACCCCTGTGGATTTTATTGCTGGACTATGTGACTAAAGTATAAAACTTGTATTAAAATAAAATTAATGTATTTTTCCCTGATGCATAACCTATATACTAATTGTTAATTATTTTTTCTTTTCTAAATATTGGTAAACTATACAAGAATATTACTGTCATAAAAATTTCAAATATTGTCATTAGTTCTCTTTAGAAGAGAGTTACATCTGTGCAACCAAACATAGTGTAAATAAAACAAGAGAAATTCTGCATTATATTAAAAACTACATCTGATTTGAAAAACCGATGCACATCTTTGGTTGAGACTCTCTACAAACCTGAATATATAATTTCTCATACCTAATGCCTTTACATATTATTTTTTTCCCAAAGTGTAGTGTATTTATCCTCATGAACAGTTTCCATCTAGCTAACTCTGAGGAAGACAGGACTTGATTCAAGCTTCCCCATCTCCCTCATCCCATTCAGACTGACTTAGCTGCTGCTTCTCTGTGTTCCCAACTCCTCTATACTGTTGTCTCAATTGTGGTACCTACTACGATATATGAATGTACCTGTTTTAGTTTATTATCTTTTCATAATTTGATAAACTCTTTGAATATGGAACCATGTCTTATTCATTTTTATATTCCAGTGCCTAGAACAATGTTTGCTATAGAAGCAGACACTCATTAAATGTGTGTGAAAGGATGAATGAATAAATCAACAAAGATTTTTATGGTTGTTTTATTAAGTCTTAGTAATCAGAGTTTGGAAGTGTTAGCATCATGAGCTGAGAGAGTCAAAGTCTTTTTCCTAGATGAATTTAAATTTTATGATATTGAAGCTTGATCTACTTTAATTTTTTTCACTGACTTCTCTTAAACAAGAGAGCAGCTTCTTTTGAACTTTCTTTCCCTACATGTTACTTGTGTAAGTGAAAGCAAGATTAACATACCTTTTAACTTCTTGGATGTAAGTCCTATAAGGATTGAAAATATACATAGAAATAAATTTATGATTTTATTTCTTTTATACTTTAAAACTATTACATGGGATTAAAACTTGCTTCTACTTCAATCAGTATATCAAATTTGTATATATATTTAGGTATATTTTAAAAAATGAATTACATCAGGATTTATGAAATAATTACTACTTGTATACAATTAGCATGACACATGTTGTGTGATAATGTATATATGGGGAATAAATTCTCATTAAAACTGATTAATATAGAGAAGCTCACTTAACAGTAAAATCTAATATAATTGCTACTAAAAACATTGCATGGCAATTTTATTTTTAGTAGTATGGAAGATTTTTATAAACATTACATATCAAGAATTCCCACAGTGAATAGTAAAATTTATCCCTCATTAGAGATCCATGTCTAGTCTGCATTAAAAATTGGCAGTATATGAACATTCATGTTTATAAGGCAGATTAATTAAGATGTGTTTGCTTTACAAGAGGATGTTTTGTGCTTTAGAAGATATTTCTTACCTATCTAAATTCCCTAATGCCTTTACAAAACACATGGATTTTGTTTGAAATACCACACACAAAAATTTCAGATATCCATCTGTTGTATCACAAAGATGCATGATTTAACATAGCCCAGGAGATTCATCCAAAATAGGCCTATTTTATTTCTTGAAAATAGATATGAAGTAGAAAAAGGGTATACATTTTCAACTTTAACACCGAAAAAAATGAGAATTATTGTACATAATTGTAAAATTTTAAAACTACCAACATAAACCAAAAAAAGTGTATTTAACACAGGCACAAGAATTAGTTTTTTAAAAAACTTATTTCAATTTCACAGGTTTAATAAATCACTACAGGCCTAGTGAAAGACTGGGTTTAATCCAAGAATATATTAAATATACATCTCCATTTAAAAAAATTTGCTTTCATGGAAATTTTATGTAGCAAATATACTGAATGTATATTCCAATATACGGACTCTTGATTTACACTCATTGTTATTACTCACAGGGGAAAAAAGTTATAGATAAGTTAGTATGAGACTTATGTATATATTTCTATCTAAGATAAATTTTTTGTATATAAAGTTTTAAGGCTGTCATTTTCTAATAATAAAAGTAATGTCAATTTATCATTCATAAGTTTAGGAAATGCATAAGATTTAACAACTAAAGATGCCTCTGTTAACTCCCTGATGAGTAGGAGGCTACTTTTCAATTTTCTATTTTACTTACACAAGAAAATTAGTAAATTTAGAAGAGGAAACACAACCATAACCTCAACAAACAAGGCAAACTTAATGACTGTCCACCTTTCAGAAACTTTTATGCTTTCTTCTGTCTCTCCATTTGTCTATGTATGTGTGTAATACAGGCTCATAATATATGGATTTTTATGATTCTCTAATGATAAGAATTTCCAAATATGTGTCAGTGTTCACATTAAATTAGAAAAAATATTTCTGCAGCTTATTTATCATAAAATAAATAATCATAGAAGTCAGAGAATGTTGCAAGAATGAAGTTATATGGTCTATAAATTAGATAAAATTCATGTGATTTGATTTGTTACAAGATAGTAATAGTTTAGAATGGCAGCATATAAATTATTTAAAGATGTTTTACATATTCTGTTAAAGAATAGAGTAGATGAGAATAGACATTTTCATGTGAATTTTATTGAAGAAAAGCTTAGTCAATTGAGGTAAGAGCAACTATTCTGTCACAAGTTTGGGATGATCAGATATGCTACATTTGTTGTTTACTATGTAACACTATGTACTTAACAGCAAGCACTCAACAAAAATCTATATTAAAATAAAGAAAAAAATAAACCTGGGATTGAAGATACAGGGCCTGGATGCAGAAACTTGAAGTGGACAGGATTGGTTTTTCAGGATTTTTTTTTTCCACCCAGGAGGCAAGTAGAACCACAAAAGCAACAATGTCTAAGAAAATGCCTTATGACAAAGACAATTTATTTTCTGTTGGGAAACAGCTCTTTGTATTTGACTCAGTCCCTGTTTCTATCATCATCCCTGGACAGCAACAAACAGAACTATGTATCATCGCATACAAAGTACAATCAGAGAAATATGGTTGGCCAAAGAGCTCTGTGCTTTAGAATTTGAATCTGTAAATACTCCACAAATCCCTGTGATAGTGGTGGAATTCTGAATGCCTATGATTCAGAAATTACCAAGGGCACTATATGGATAAAATAAGTCCAGGAAATATGTGAAAAAAATTGAGAGATCCTGAAAAATATAATCAGTTCTACTATTCAGGAGATTGTACTTCTACTTCAAAACAGGTTCCTGTAACCGTAGAGACCATGTGCCAAATAATCACCTCCCCTCGTTTGTCATTCTGCTGCAGGTGCATTTCCTCAGAAAGGCCACAAGCTTAAGTATTATCATTCACACAGAGATCAATTTATTTTGACAGCAAAGTGTTGCAGGCACAAATTTGCATTTGCAGTATGGTAATTTTTTAAAAACTCTATGAATTGGAGATTTTGAGTGCCCTCACTATTTTTACTACCTTTTATGCTTGTTGCTCCTGAAAAAATAAAAAATACAAGAGAAATGTCCTCAATTCCTTTATTAAGTATTATACAGTTATATTTATTTTGCAAAATTGCTTTATAGTTAATACAATATTTTCCAACTCAGAATGTTTCTACCTCCTGGAAGGATAACCAAGAATGTACTGACTGGTCATGACTAATCGAAGAATTAGGCACATTTATTTGGTTCAATCTAGCAAATAGTTATTGCATGCCTACTGGGTGTAAGGCACTGTTATAGATGAGTTGGAATATGGATGCATCTCAAATGGCAAAAATGCTATTGCTTCTGGGGACAAATAAGGTCACATTAGCATACATGCTCAAATTTCCATTGCACTGGGACACTCCCAGATCTCAGTCCTTTTCAAAAGTCCCCTATAATGTATTTCTGGCATGCTCAGGGGAGTCTAAAGTGTTCAACCATGAATCTTATCCTGTTAGTCCTGCTGCTGCTCCCCCACATGCCACTGTGGATGTCAGCCATGCCATGTCTGTTATCAGGAGTCTGCTGCAGGAATTTCACACTCTCATTGTTACTTTCCACTTAAATCTGCTTCTACCCAGGCCCACGTGTTCTTTTCTAATCTTTTCCTTCAGTTTCTGCCTCTAACTCCTCTCTCTGCAGTGTCAGCAAAGACAAAACAAACAAACTAAACCCATTACACCCTCCTTTTATAATCATTACAGCTTCCCTCATTCCAAGTGGTTATTACATTAAATTTCATTCTCTTCTTCAACTTTAAAAGGAAATAATTTGCACAGTTTTCAAAGACAGATAGGTGTAAACCCCTCATTTTATCAGTCACTTCTTGAATTTTCTTCCCTCTCAACTAAAACGACCCCCATTAAACAAAAAGAATTTATAATCTAGTGGTCTGATTGGAGAACACAACAGGTGTATGCATGATGTAATTGCTAAGATTATACATACATAGTTTGTTTTGGAAATTAATACAAAACAAAACAAAATCAGGAAATTATGATTGTTCCTAATCCTAACGGCAAAATCAGAGAATATGGGTTGGCCAAAGAGCTCGGAGTGAGGAAAGTGAGTTGGCAGGCATGGTTCACTCAGGTTACAATACAGAAGACACATAGAAGTGAAAGGGCCTGTGACTCTGAGTTTATGAATGTTCTCTGTGACAGCAGGCTAAGGGGAAAGTGGTCACGTGAAAATACAGTTAGACTAGAGCAAGGCTGATCATTCAAGATGACTTACATTCTACGCCAAATATTGTGAATTTTCTCAGGTGGGTAACTAGGGACAACATTGGGAAATCTGAATAGTGTAATTTATTTATGCATCAACTAACAGAAGACCTAACTGAAAGAAAAATTAGGACATCCATTATCTCACGTAACAAGAAGGTATAGCGATATAAGGTGGATTCAGGGATGGTGAATTCAATCACTCAGTGAAAGCATGGCTTTAACTCTATTTCTCTGCATTTGTTTCTCCTTATAATTTCTAGATGGCCGAATTTCAAGCATCACATTTTCAAACAGTACCCAAAGGAAGGATCAAAGCTTTTTTCCTGTGTTTTTTATTAAGAGCTTTGCCTAGAAATTTTACCCAGTAAAAAACTTCTGTCTGTGTTAGTTTGCTGAGGATACTGGCACCTGTATCCCAAAACTTAAAAATAATAAGTAAATAAATAAGAAAATATATGTTTCAATGACCGAAATCCTTCCATAAACCCACTCAGAAATGAATCATGATTCCTAGAATCCCCCCAACATGAGGCTACCACCTGATACCTGAACAAAATCAGGGTTGTGTTAGAAAGAAGTTGGGGAAAGAGCTAGATAGCTAATTCTGACAGAAAGTAACAAGGTAAGATCTGAAATTTAGATATTTAACTATGAAATAGGATTTGGCATAAGTTAGATGGCATAAGATAGAGACTGGGAGCAAAGAAATAAGAAAAATTTAATGCAATAATATGTAAGATATAATGGAAACTTAAACTAAGCCATGGGACCAAAATAAGAATGTCTATAGAGAGAGACGAGTTAAAGAATTTGAAATGAAACACAGCCATTACCAAAGGACTCTTGGACACGAAGAGTGGGAAAAAGACAGAGATAACTACAGTGTTGGAAACAAATTTAGCAACACTATTAACTGAGCCAATAAATTATTCTATTCTGTAAAAATAGAAATTATTTCTATCAGCACAGTAATATGCTGGTGTTTACCTTGAGAAAATAAATGATTTTGTTTCATTCCATCCAGGTGGCAAAATGTACCCAGGCCCTGTATTGATTAGGAATTTTCAAGTTCTGGACATAAAGTTTTCTCTAAGAAGTGAATTTCTTCTGTATATGTTGTCCTTTTTTCAACATGTCTCCAAATTGGTTGAAGAAATATGTTATGAATTACTGTATTAAAGGCTGTGGATCACATAAATAGAGCTCTGTCTCTTCTTAGGTATACATTTTAATATACAATTTTAAATATGTATTATTTAAGAAAAACAAGCTCTAATATAAAGGGAATGTCTGCAGTAAGGGGTACTGTAGCTGTGTCCATTATATTTAAATTCAATTTCAATCAATTAAAATAATTATCAGACCCTATGTCAGCAGATTTGGAGAAAAAGTATTTAAAAAAGTAAACTCTAAATGACTTATTTTTATATATTATTTTAAAAACATTAATTAATGTTTCAGGAGCAAAGTATAGCTTATTTCAATTGACTATTTTTAAGTGTAATAACCAACATTTACATTATCTTTCAATTTGAATTTATAAACTCTCCAACTTACACCTAAATGTATTGTATTCTCTGTGTGTCTGGATAATGAAGGAAATTGTTTTTTACCTGACCAGGTCCTTCTCAGTTCTAAGTATATGTGATAGTGATCTGTTTTATTCACCACTATACTTTGTAGTTTCTCTCCTTCTTCATCCTCATGGTAATCTTTTCCTCTCTTATATAGCCTTTCTTCTTTATATAGTAAAATATTTTATGTAATGAAAAGTTACATATATGGCATACTAGCCACAAAATATATTTGATATATTTGATGATCTCAATTAACTCATATGTCTCAGCTCCTTTTAAGGGCTTGTGTGGTTTATGACTAAGTATCTGATTTTTTTTAAAAAAGTGTTACATATAGTGAGAGAAGTAATTACCAACTGTTCCACTATCAGGAAGGAAATAACCAATTATCTTACATAAAATGCAATGTTAATAATAACGAGTTCAAGATCTGTACATAAGACAAATTTTGAATTACTTTCACTTATTTTTAATTAAATATATTATTTAGGTTAAAATATTTGTATATGTATTTTTTCCCATTACTACATCTAAAACTTTGATACCTAGTAAAAACAGCTATAGGAGTTCACATACTATATTTATAAAAATAATAAAAACATATAATTCATGTGGATCTGTATATGTTTGCATGTATATTAGAGAAAACTTAAAAATATAATTCTGTGGATCTCAATATGTATACACAGATTTTAGAGAAAACAGTGTTCCAGAGACACTTATTATTTTTGTTCTAAAAAACAATTGTGTAAATAATAGATGACTGATATCTAATATGCTACCCATATTTACATTTTCCCAACTGTTCTGAAAATGTCATTCATAGATGGTTTTATTTTATTTTATTCCTTCAATATAGGATCAAATTAAGGGTGATGTACTGTCTTTAGTTTTCAGGTAATTTTGTCTCCTTTAATCTAGAACAGTTCTCCCCTCTTTTTTTTTTTTTTTGATTCTATGATGTTAATATTTTGCAAGATTCCACACTGTTGTTGTATAGAACACACACTGACCTGGTTGTATCTGATAGTTTCCTCATTGCTTCAATCAGGCTAAACATTTGTAGCAAGACTGCTACATGGGTGATGTGTGTACAAGCAGTATATAATACCTTTGTGATCAGGAGACACATACTGCATTATTTAATTGTGAAGTGTCAAATGTGTAAAACTAATTTCAGATAGTTCATTAAAAGAAAAAATCTATGTGTATACATATTTATATAT
Organism: Homo sapiens; assembly: GCF_000001405.40. NCBI lineage: Eukaryota > Metazoa > Chordata > Mammalia > Primates > Hominidae > Homo > Homo sapiens. The sequence continues at coordinate 91,131,622 of NC_000004.12, forward strand.
ATTAATCTATTCATCAATCTGTTGATCTAGATAGGTAGATAGATAGATAGATAGATCTTGCATTATAAAAAGAAACAGATGCAGAGAAACAGATAAAGCAAACAGTATCAACTGGTGAATCTAGATGAAGAATCTATCAATACTCATTGGACTAGTCTTTCAACTTTTCTGATCTATTTCAAAGTAAAAAGCTGGGGAGAACAATGGGGTGAAATAGTGAAAGGCACGTGACACGGAGTTTGATACACAGAGGTAGAGTAGCCATTCTACTGCTTGCTGGCTGTATGATTTTGGATGAATCATCGAAAATCTCTGAGCTTATACACCTTAACTTCAAAATGAAGATGATAATATCTAGATTATATATTGTTTTAAAGATTAGAAAAGATAAAAGTTACCTGAGGTTTTCAGACAGCATAGCTAGATTTAGAATAACAAAACAACTCCAGATTCCTCTCAAATTGAAGGCCCAGTGCACTCTGATATCTTACACATAGACATGGAAAATGAATAAAGAATATATTCATCATTTTTGAAAATGACAGAAGTTTAAATTGGCTTGTTGTTCTATTAAAGAAATGAGTTTTTCATAGTTCAGATGACCTTGGTGACTATAAATAAGATAGAGTTCAAGGGTGACTAGTGCAGAGTTAATTAATTTAGGAAAGCAATAAAAACCCATACAAGTATAAGATGAATAAGGACTGTGAAGGTGTACAAAAGGTCACAGAGGGCATTAACGTAAACACATGAAAAAATGCAGCACTGCATCTAAATTAGGAAATCGACACTGGGATATGCAAGTGCTAATATCACAGCATTGGAAAACTCTCTCTGGACCCCAGATTTATTTCACAATTGCCCTGCAATTAAAATGAGATCTGAAGAATGTATTCGTTAATTCTGCAGGTACAATTACCAAGCATGTTTTATTTTCCAAGCTCTCTGCTGGTTGCAATACAAAAATGAATGAGATGAACATCCCTCCCTTCAAGGAGTTCACAGTCAAGTGAAGCAGACATATGTAAGCAATTACAGTCTGTCTTCCCTTGGGTTAACTACTAGATTTGGATGCTTATTTTAAAACAGCATCTAAACATTTATGAAGTATTAGAAAAGTTTTATAAAAGTAGTAACATTTAAGCTGAAACATAACTTTCAGTTTAGAAGAAACAATTTCAAATGTAAGAGAGGAATAAAAAACCTATCCTTGATCTTAAAATATATGACCTCTTAGAGACTTATGATTCCTTACTCTGCATTTTCATAACGTCAACAAGCAATATGAAATATTTACCACAATAATTTTTCTTCCTAACAGACTGTAGATCTGACTTCTTGGGGATATAATCCTTGCTACTTGATTTTGTCAGGGCTTTATTTATGTTTGAAACAAATTCATTAGCATAGGGAAGCTAAATGACACATTTTTGCTTAGTATTTAAAAGACTGAAGAGTCTTGAACGTTGTTTTCCAACTAAGACTTTGTTTTAGTGTGTTCTTTTCCTTGTCTTTTATTCTCACCTTCTCTTCTTTAAATAATATTCATTGGTTCCCTTCTCTTCTCTTTTCTTCCCTTCCCTTCTCTTCCTACCCCCTCCTCTTCCCTTTCCTTTACTTTCTTTTGCTTTTTCTTGTTTTCTTTCCTTTTTCTTTCATTCCTTTGAAGTAGGGTCTGGCGAGGCAGGAACAGAAGAATTCAGGTGTCAGAAAGTGCTAAGATTGTCTGTGGGACAGAGGAGTCATTCGGGTGAGGAAGCGGTTCATGAAGTCAGATATTGATCACATAGGAAGTCAGCGAATGAGTAAATATATTTACCATAATGGGCATCTGATTACTCCCTGTTAGAGAAGAAATTTTAAAATATGGAAGTAGTGAAGGTAGATTGACGCCTCTGGTATTGAACTGGACTTAGAGGCATTGGTATAAACTTTTGATTTTTGATAGATGATAGGTAGATAGATGAGATAATGTGTATGTGTGGGTGCTCATAACACATATATTTCCTAACCATGTCTTTTGAGAGGGACAAGAAGCAATATCATCCCAGAAACAGTGATTCCACCAAGCACCCAAATTTTAAAGACCATTATTTACTAAAAAACAACAGGGCTCTTGGAATAATTTCTGGTTACAGGGATGGGGCAATGAAAGTTTAAGATAAGCCTGAAGTATTTTGTTTTATAAAGTAGTGCTTGCCGGGCATGCTGGCTCACTCCTGTAATCTCAGCCCTTTGGGAGGCCGAGGCAGGCGGATCATGAGGTCAGGAGTTCAAGACCAGCCTGACCAACATAGTGAAACCCCGTCTCTACTAAAAATACAAAAATTAGCCAGGCAAGGTGGCGCATGCCTATAATCCCAGCTACTCTGGAGGCTGGGGCAGAAGAATTGCTTGAACCCGGGAGGCAGAGTTTGCAGTGAGCCGAGATCGTGCCACTGCACTCCAGCCTGGGTGACAGAGCAAGATTCTGTCTCAAAAAAAGAGTAGTGCTCAAAAAATTAAACTTGGAATCCAGCTTTCAGAATCTTCACCCAGAGTTAGGAGGATCCCTTGAGGCCAGGAGTTAGAGACCAGCCTGGGTAGCATAGCCAGATGCTGTCTCTACAAAAGAAATTTAAAAAGATTATTGGGGTGTAGTGGCCCATGCCTGTAGTCCTAGCTACTTGGGAGGCTGAGGTGAAAGGATCACTTGAGCCCAGGATTCTAGGTTACAGTGAGCTTTGATCATGCCACTCACACCACTGCACTCCTGCAACATTTCACTCCAGTCAGGGCAACACAGCAAGACCCTGTCTACAAAAAAAAAACAAAAACAAACAAAAAAACAAAATAATCTTCAGATAATCTGGGATAATTTGAGCATCAAGTTAAATACTGGCAATAACAAATTAAACAGATTCTAACATACTGAATAAAATAGGAATTCTTGAGTTCCTACTGATACAAAGAGACAAATATTAGGCAAATAAATGGGGAGATTGGAAAATTATTCCTTATAGTAAAGTTTCAACTAATAAATGTAGAAACAAGAAAATCACCATTTAGCAGTCATCACAACAATAATTGATGCAGACAACAATCTTCAATGAATGTTAAAATTAGACACTGAAAATTTGTTGAGAAAGGAATATTTTCAGTCTTAAAATACTCCTCCTGGCCAGGCGCGGTGGCTCACGCCTGTAATCCCAGCACTTTGGGAGGCCGGGGCAGACAGACCACAAGGTCAAGAGATTGAGACCATCCTGGCCAACATGGTGAAACCCCATCTCTACTAAAAATACAAAAATTAGCTGGATGTGGTGGCGCATGCTTGTAGTCCCAGCTACTCGGGAGGCTGAGGCAGGAGAATCGCGTGAACCCAGGAGGCAGAGCTTGCACTGAGCTGAGATTGCACCACTCCACTCCAGCCTGGCGACAGAGAGAGACTCTGTCTCAAAGAAAAAAAAAAAAACTATTCTTACTTAATTTTCCCCCCACTTACTGACTACAAAAGAAAAAACAGTAACTTTGCAGTGATGGTTGAAGCCATAATCTTAATGAAATATCACTAGTAATTGGACAAGTCAACATATTTTTAATATCTGTGATGAAGTACAGAATCTAAAACTAATTGTAAAGAAATATTAGATAAATCTAAACTGAAGGGCATTCTGTAAACTAACTGGCCATGCTCTTAAAGAAGTATTACAGTCACAAAGGAAAGGTAAGATTTAGGAACTGCTTACAGTTGAAAAAGGCTAAAAAGACATGACCAAAAAAGTGGATCCTAGACCAGAAGAAAAAACTGTCCACAAAGGGAATTATTGGAATAATTGTTAAAATTTGAATGGAGTCAATGTGATAAATGGTATTCTAGATGGTGGAATTGTTTTTGATGTTCATTTGCTGATTTAGATGATTTATTGCAGTATGGCAGAGTATCCTTTTAACTTAGGAAATTCACACAAATTTTTAGGGGTGGTACGAACTTATCTGCAACTTACATTCAACTGATTCATTAAGAAATATTAGATGCACAGACACCTACACATGCACACACATGAAGACATATACACAAAAGAAAAAGCAGAGAGACAGAAGAAGAAAAGTTGGGTGAGAGAGAGGGAAGGAAAGGAAAAATGTTAAACATACATGGCTAAGATATTCACAAGTAGGGAACCTGGGTGCAGCATGAAGGGAGTTGGTTGTATTATTTTCACAACTTCGCTATAAGTTTATTTTTTAAAAATATCTTCTAACTAATCTATATTTGATGGTCCTGTGAATCATGAGTATATTTGTATAAACCTGAATCATATATGCAAATAATTGAATGACTTAACTGCTGGGGTAATGACATACATACATTATGTTGCCAGACATGAAAATTTTATTCTTATCACCTGTATTTATTGACGTACAAAAGTATGTGGTGTTATACTGGTCACAGTAAAAAATTTTAGTTTCCAAATCCTTATTTTCTTGCATATCAAATCCAAATGTTTTGTCATCCAAAATTCCTCATCTGATGTCCCTGAACCTTCCAGTCCAGTCACCTACCTCTATCTCACATCAACTTCTCACAGCAGCTACACCAAACATCTTGCAGTTCATCAATTAAAACACTACTCTTCACACCTCATACATTTGCCAGTGTTTTTTCCTTTATCTACAATGTCCTCTCCTTCCTCATCCTCATCCTACCGTCTTTATTGGGGTTGTTTCCTTCAAAGATGTGTGGACTGACAGTTAATATTCTGTGTTTACCTCTGTTAGCAATTACAGTCATCTGTTTTAATTGCCTGTTTACTTTGCTGTGTTATCATCAACCTGTGAGCATCTGTAAATTCTTTTACCCAGAATTCTACTCTAATCTTTTCCATCTCCCATCCTGACCTACAATGGATACCCTAAAGTCTTTCTTTTCAATACTATTTAATTTATAAGTATATATAAAAAGTAAGCTCCCCAACATTGGGAGAATTCTTTGTGTTTTCCGAATGTAATGGATATCTTATATTTAAACTGTGAGATAGTATAAGATGTATGTAGAAAAAATGAAAAGTATGAATTTATTCAAACTTTACCCAATATGAAATATCACTGATAATTGATAAAGATAGGTTTTATCAAAATCTATTTATTCATTTTGAGTTATTTTATTTTTACGAAACTACTTGTGAATCATGGTTCTTATTTTTTTGTAACTGTGTCAACTTATACAATATGAGAAAAACTGAGGTTCCCTCTTCATTTTTACTGGCTATGACACACACATTTGTGCTGAAATAATTTGATTTTATAATATAAAAATTTAAACTTGGTAGCTTTCTCTAAAACTAAAAACCCTAACTTAATAGGGAATTCAAAAATTCACTTTAGTGATTATAGAAATGTTTATAAAAATTCTTTTTTTTTTTATTATACTTTAAGTTTTAGGGTACATGTGCACATTGTGCAGGTTAGTTACATATGTATACATGGGCCATGCTGGTGCGCTGCACCCACTAACTCGTCATCTAGCCTTAGGTATATCTCCCAATGCTATCCCTCCCCCCTCCCCCCACCCCACCACAGTCCCCAGAGTGTGATATTCCCCTTCATGTGTCCATGTGATCTCATTGTTCAATTCCCACCTATGAGTGAGAATATGCGGTGTTTGGTTTTTTGTTCTTGCGATAGTTTACTGAGAATGATGATTTCCAATTTCATCCATGTCCCTACAAAGGACATGAAATCATCATTTTTTATGGCTGCATAGTATTCCATGGTGTATATGTGCCACATTTTCTTAATCCAGTCTATCATTGTTGGACATTTGGGTTGGTTCCAAGTCTTTGCTATTGTGAATAATGCCGCAATAAACATACGTGTGCATGTGTCTTTATAGCAGCATGATTTATAGTCATTTGGGTATATACCCAGTAATGGGATGGCTGGGTCAAATGGTATTTCTAGTTCTAGATCCCTGAGGAATCGCCACACTGACTTCCACAATGGTTGAACTAGTTTACAGTCCCACCAACAGTGTCAAAGTGTTCCTATTTCTCCACATCCTCTCCAGCACCTGTTGTTTCCTGACTTTTTAATGATTGCCATTCTAACTGGTGTGAGATGATATCTCATAGTGGTTTTGATTTGCACAAAATCAATGTACAAAAATCACAAGCATTCTTATACACCAACAACAGACAAACAGAGAGCCAAATCATGAGTGAAATCCCATTCACAATTGCTTCAAAGAGAATAAAATACCTAGGAATCCAACTTACAAGGGATGTGAAGGACCTCTTCAAGGAGAACTACAAACCACTGCTCAAGGAAATAAAAGAGGATACAAACAAATGGAAGAACATTCCATGCTCATGGGTAGGAAGAATCAATATCGTGAAAATGGCCATACTGCCGAAGGTAATTTACAGATTCAGTGCCATCCCCATCAAGCTACCAATGACTTTCTTCACAGAATTGGAAAAAACTACTTTAAAGTTCATATGGAACCAAAAAAGAGCCCGCATCGCCAAGTCAATCCTAAGCCAAAAGAACAAAGCTGGAGGCATCACACTACCTGACTTCAAACTATACTACAAGGCTACAGTAACCAAAACAGCATGGTACTGGTACCAAAACAGAGATATAGATCAATGGAACAGAACAGAGCCCTCAGAAATAACACCGCATACCTACAACTATCTGATCTTTGACAAACCTGAGAAAAACAAGCAATGGGGAAAGGATTCCCTATTTAATAAATGGTGCTGGGAAAACTGGCTAGCCATATGTAGAAAGCTGAAACTGGATCCCTTCCTTACACCTTATACAAAAATCAATTCAAGGTGGATTAAAGATTTAAACGTTAAACCTAAAACCATAAAAACCCTAGAAGAAAACCTAGGCATTACCATTCAGGACATAGGCGTGGGCAAGGACTTCATGTCCAAAACACCAAAAGCAATGGCAACAAAAGCCAAAATTGACAAATGGGATCTAATTAAACTAAAGAGCTTCTGCACAGCAAAAGAAACTACCATCAGAGTGAACAGGCAACCTACAACATGGGAGAAAATTTTCGCAACCTACTCATCTGACAAAGGGCTAATATCCAGAATCTACAATGAACTCAAACAAATTTACAAGAAAAAAACAAACAACCCCATCAAAAAGTGGGCGAAGGACATGAACAGACACTTCTCAAAAGAAGACATTTATGCAGCCAAAAAACACATGAAAAAATGCTCATCATCACTGGCCATCAGAAAAATTCTTTTTAAAAAAATAAGTTCTACCTTTATTTTAGATTCTGGGGTTACATTGCAGGTTTGTTACATGGGCATATGGCATGATGCTGAGGTTTGGGCTATGAATGATCTGTCACCCAGGTGGTGAGCATAGTACATCATAGGTAGCTTTTCAAACCTTGCCCCTCTCCCTTCCTCTTTGCTCAAGCAGTCCCTAGTGTCTGTTGTTGCCATCTTTATGTCCCTGAGTACTCAGTGTTTAGCTCCTGCTTACAAGTAAAAACATGTGGTATTTGGTTTTCTGCTCTTGGGTTAATTCATTTAGAAGAATGAATTCCTGCTGAATCCATGTTGCTGTAAGGTACATGATGTTTTCATTCTTTTTTATGGCTGCATAGTATTCCAAGGTGTATATGTACCACATTTTTTTTTTATCCAGTCTCCAGTCCACCATTGATGGGAAACTAGATTGGTTCCCTATCTTTACTATTTAAATACCACTTATCGTCTATTTTGTGCTGAGCATTGTGCTACATCCTTCTTCAGAACAACAATTTGAGGACTCATTTTTCTCAATTTATAAAAGAATCATATTAGAATAAGAGGCTTTATTATTTCTAAGTGCGCTGCGATTTGCATTTTTCTCTTAGCAGATATTGAACAAAAAGAAAAAAGATACAAGAGGTAGTGTGATGCAGAGAAGGGGACAAATGTAGTCATTGTAGTTAGGAACTTTGCAGGAATAGAGTGTTGGAGTCCTGAAGTGTTCTGATTAATAAAAGCTATCTTTCAAGACCCATAGCAAAATGCATATAAAATATCATAAATATTTGTGTTAACATTTAAGAGTAGAGCTGATATGTGAAATCTAGAAAATTAAATTTTGGAAATTATGTTAAACACTTATCTAGTGTCTAATATACATTTGTAATCAACAAAAAGAACAGTGTTTAAAAATAAGAGCAATACCAATTGCTTCTCTGAAAACCTTTTGTATAGATATGCCAAGTACTTTTTTTCAGCCAGTCCATTGAGACTAGTTTGCTTTACAGCTTCTTATTTTGAAAAAGTACAAAGAAAGTACTTGTTCATGAGAAAAAGTTAACTGAGGAGAAATTACATGTACCTTGGGAGTAAGTTAAATATTTCTTGTTTAATTTTCTTAGATGATTCTTATTAAATAGTTCTTTTATAGATGCACAGAAATAATGAAAAATGATCTCATTGACATTGTGCTTTATTCCTAATGACTGGTTAGATAATTATTAGGAATAAAGGTAGAGTGTATGAAATTATTTTTAGATTTAAACTTCAGGCTCTTAATATATATTAGAAAAATTGTTCCCTTCCTTGAACCACACCATTTATATTTGGTAATATAGTATAATGATGAGAAAAAGATAATAGAAAAGCAGAAAATAAAAGGATTTTAATTCATTTTTGTGTGATTATTATAGCTGCATAAATTATACTAAAATATTAAATATATTTTACTTTTAAGATATCAATTTATTGGTAATATTGCTTAATAATAGTCCTTTAAAACTCCAATTATAAAACTGTTTTCTAAGCTCTTGGTCTTCCAGATTTAGAATAACTTTTAAAAGCTGTTTTTTAAAAAATACTTAATATTTTGGCTATTAGAATATATTTACATTCTTCTTTTCTGAGTCTATAAAAAGTATAAAACACAATCTTTACCATTTGGAATTCAAGAAAGTATTAATTCATTATGTTTTATTAAAAAGGAAATTTCTTCCATACAACCTGTACATTTCTCCTAGTAAAAATTAATTACTCAGCTGGAGTGACATGATTTTTGCAATAAAAATTAGTAGTTGGAAATCATGTTTTTTCACTGATTGCTTTTGATGCCTAAATTCCATTCCCACATGGTATTTGAATATAGCCTGATATTAAGGAAGACATCTGATTCAGTTTTCTTGTCTTTTCTTTTATTACTTTTTAAATTTCAACTTTATTTTGGCTTCAGGGGGTACTTGTCCAGTTTTGATGCAGGCATATATTGCACAATGCTGAGGTTTGTGATATGATTGGACCTGTCACCCAAGTAGTGAGAAGAGCATCCAATAGGTAGTTTCTCAACCCTGGCACCCCTCCTTCCCTCCCAGTTTTTATAGTACCCAGTGTCTACTGTTGCCATGTTTATGGTCATGTATGTCCAATGTTTAGCTCCCACTTAAAAGTGAAAATGTGGTATTTGGTTTTCTGTTTCTACATTAATTTACTTTTTACTTAGGATAATGGCCTCCAGCTCCATCCATGTTGCTGCAAAGGATATGATTTCATTCTTTTTTTTTTTTTTCTTTTTGAGACAGAGTCTCACTGTCACCCAGGCTGGAGTGAAGTGGCACAATCTCGGCTCACTGCAACCTCTACCTCTTGAGTTCAAGTGATTCTCCTGCCTCAGCCTCCTGAGTAGTTGGAATTACAGGCACCTGCCACCACCTGACTAATTTTTGTATTTTTAATAGAGACTGGTTTTCACCATGTTGGCCAGGGTGGTCTCGAACTCCTGACCTCAGGTGATCTGCCCGCCTTGGCCTCCCAAAGTGCTGGGATTATAGGCATGAACCACCATGCCTGGCCCAATTTCATTCTTTTTTTATGATGGTGTAGTGTCTCATGGTGTATATGTACCACATTTTCTTTATCCAATCCACTACTGATGAGCACCTACGTTGATTCCATGTCTTTGCTATTGTGAATAGTGCTGCAATGGACATATGAGTGCTTGTGTCTTTTTGGTAGAACAATTTTTTTTTCCTTTGGGTAAATACTGAGTAATGTGACTGCTGGGTTGAGTGGTAGTTCTATTTTTAGTTCTTTGAGAAATCTCTAAACTGCTTTCTACAGTGGCTGAATTAAGTTACATCCCAACCAACAGTGTATAAGCATTCCCATTTCTCTGCAGCCTCACCAACAGTTGTTTTTGGCCCTTTTAATAAAAGCCATTCTGACTCAGATGGTATTTCATTGTTGTTTTGATTTGCATTTATTTGATTAGAGATTTTGAGCATTTTTTCCTATGTTTGTTAGCTGCTTGCATGTCTTCTTTTGAGAAGTGTCTGTTCATATCTTTTAATGATGTTACTTGTTTTTTATTTGTTGATTTAAGTTCCTTATAGATTCTGGATATTAGACCTTTGTCAGATTCAAAATTTGTGAATATTTTCTCCAATTCTGCAGATTGTCTGCTTACCCTGTGATATGGTTTTGTTGTGTCCCCACCCATATTTCACCTTGAATTGTAATAATCCCCACGTGTCAAGGGTGGGGGACAGGTGGAGATAATTGAATCATGGGGGCAATTTCCCCCATACTGTTCTTGTGGTAGTGAATAAGTGTCACAAGATCTCATGGTTTTATAAAGGAGAGTTCCCCTGAACAAGCTCTCTCTTGCCTGCCACCATGTAAGATGTGCCTTTGACTGTCTCTTGCTTTCTGCCATGATTGTGAGGTCTCCCTAGCCATGTGGAACTGTGAATCCATTAAACCTCTTTCCTTTATAAATTACCCAGTGTTGGGTATGTCTTTATTAGCAACATGAGAACAGACTAATATACTCTGTTAGTTTCTTTTGCTGTGCAAAACTCTATACTTTAATTAGATCCACTTGGTAATTTTTGTTTTTGTTGTGATTGCTTTTGAGGACTTAATCATCAATTATTTGCCAAGGCTGATGTCCAACATGGTGTTTCCTCAGTTTTCTTACAGGATTTTCATAGTTCAAGGTCCTGCTTTTAAATCTTTAATCCACCTAGAGTTAATTCTTGTATATGTACAAGTATACGAGAATTGAAAAGTAGGAGTTTAGTTTCTTTCTTCTGCATGTAGTTAGCCAGTTATTGCAACATCATTTATTGAATCGAGAGTCCTTTCCTTATAGTGTATTTCTGTAGACTTTGTAAGAGATTAGGTGGCTGTAGTTGTGTGGCTTTTTTCTGCATTCTCTATTCTCTTCCATTGGACTTTGTGTCTGTTTTTTTACCAGCACCATGCTATTTTGGTTACTGTAACTTTGTAGGGTAGTTTGAATTTGGGTAATGTAATCCCTCCTGCTTTGTTCTTTTTGCTTAGGGTTAATTTGGCTATTTGAACTCTTTTTTGGTTCTATCTGAATTTTAGAATAGTTTTTCTTAATACTGTGAAAAATGATGTCGCTAATTTTATAGGAACAGTGTTGAATCTGTAGATTGCTTTGGGCAGTAGGGCCATTTTAAGGACATTGATTCTTCCAATCCATGAACATGGAGTATTTTTTTCATTTGTTTATGTCATCACTGATCTCTTTCAGCAGTTTTTTGTAGTTTTCCTTGTAGAGATCTTTCACCTCCTTGGTTAGATGTGTTTCTAGGTATTTTTTTGTGTGTGCGGCTATTGTGAATTTGATTTTTTTTTTTTATTTGGCTCTCAACTTGAACATTATTGGCGTATAGAAATGTTAAAGATTTTTGTATATTTACTTTGTATCCTGAAACTTTACTGAAGTTGTTTATCAGCTCTGGGTACCTTTTGGCAGATTATGTAGCATTTTCTAGGTATAAGATTATGTCATCAGTGAAGAGAGATAATTTGACTTCTTTTTCTATTTGTATGCTTTTTATTTATTTATCTTGCCTGATTGCTCTAATTAGGACTTCCAGTACTATGTTGAATAGGAGTGATGTGAGTGGGCATCTTTGTCTTATCCCAGGGGGAATGCCTCTAGCTTTTGCCCATTCAGTATAAAGTTGGCTAAGGGTTTGTCATAGATGGCTCTTATTATTTTAAAGTATGTTACTTCAATGCCTAGTTTCTTTAGTATTTTTTTAATCATGAAGTGGTGTTGTATTTTATTGAAAGCTTTTTCTTCATCTATTGAGATTATCATATGGTTTTTGTTTTCAATTCTGTTTATGTGGTAAATCACACTTATTGATTTGTGCATGTTGAACCCACATTGCATCCCAGGAATAAAGCCTACTTGATTGTGTTGAATTAACTGCTTTATGTGCTGCTGGGTTTGGCTTGGCAGTATTTTATTAAGGCTTTTTGTATCTATGTTCATCAGGGATATTAGCCTATAGTTTCCTTTTTTTATTGTGTCTTTGTCAGATTTTGGTATCAAGACAATGCTAACTTTGTACAATGTGTTAGAGATAAGTCCCTCCTTTTTGGTTTTTTTGGAATAGTCTCAGTAGCTTTTGTACCAGCTCTTCTTTGTTTATCTGGCAGAATATACAAAGGGTTTTTATTCTTTGGTAGGTATTTTAAATCACTGACTCAATTTTAGAACTCATTATTGGTCTGTTCAGGGTTTTAATTTCTTCTTGATTCAATATTTGTTGGTCATGTGTTTCCAGGAATTTATCCATTTTTTTTCTAGATTTTCTAGTTGATGTGCATATAGGTGTTCATAATGGTCTCTGAGGATCTTTTGCATTTCTATGGGATTGATTATAGTGTCATTTTTGTTGTTTCTGATTTGCATATTTGGATCTCTCTTTTTTTCTCTGTGAGTCTAGATAACATTCTATAGACCTCATTTATTCTTTCAAAGAACCAATTTTTATTTTTGTTGATCTTTTGTATGAATTTTTGGGTCTCAATTTCGTTTAGTTCTATTTGGATTTTAGTTATTTATTTTCTTATGGTACCTTTGGGGCTAGTTTGTTGTCATTTTCTCTAGTTTCCAGGTTGATGTTCTTTTCTTAATTTGACATCTTTCTATCTTCTTGATGTAAGCATTTAGCACTATAACCTGTCCTCTTAAAGCTTTTTTTTAATGCATTCTGGAGATTTTGGTATATTGTGTCTTTGTTTTTTTTTTATTTCCAACAAGTTTTGGATTTCTGCCTTAATTTCATTGTTTTTACAAAGGGCATTCAGAAACAAGTTATTTAGTTTCTGTGTAATTGCATGGTTTTTCAGATGCTCTTCATATTGATTTCTAGTTTTTTTTCTACTGTGGTTCTAGAACATGCTTGATAGGATTTTGATTTTTAAAAAATTTGTTGAGACTTGCTTTATGGCCCAGACTGTTGTCAGTCTTAAAGTATGTACTGTGTGCAGATGAGAACATACATTGTTTGATTTTAGGTGGAATACTCTGTTGATGTCTATTAGGTCTAATTGGTCAAGTTTTGAATTTAAGTTCAGTATTTCTTTGTTAGTTTTCTGCCTTGATGATCTGTCTAACACTGTTAGTGGGGTGTCAAAATATCCCCTATTATTCTGTGTCTGTCTAAGTCTTTTTGTAGGTCTGGAAATACTTGTTTATGAATCTGGGTCCTCCAAAACTGGGTACATATGTGTATAAAATAGTTCAGTCTTTTTGTTCAATTGAAACTAATATCGTTATGTAATGCTCTTCATTGTCTTTTGTTATTGCCATTGGTTTAAAGTATGTTTTATCTAATACATGAATAGTGTTCCCTACTCTTTTTTTGTTATCCATTTGCATAATAGTTCTTCTCTGTCCCTTTACTTTGAGCCTATTGGTGTCATAACATGTGAGATGTTCTCTTGAAGGCAGAAAAAGGTTAGGTCTTGTTTTCTTTCCAGCTTGTCACTCTGCCTTTTAAGTAGGGTGTTTAGACCATTCACATTTAAGCTTAATATTGATATGTGAGGTTTTGATCCTGCTGTCGTGTTGTTAGCTGGTTGCTTTGAAGTCTTGATAGTGTAGTTACATTTTAGGGTCTGTGGGCTATGTACTTAAGTGTGTTTCTGTGGTAGTGAGTATTTTTCTTTCATTTCTATCTTTAAATCTCTCTTCGGCGTCACTGTAATGCTTGTATAGTGGTAATAGACTCTCTTATTGCTTGCATGCCTGACAAATATTTTATTTCTCCTTTGCTTATGCAGCTTAGTTTGGCAGGATATGAAATTGTTGTTTGGGATGTTTTTTCTTTAAGGATACTGGAAATGGACTCCTAATCTCTTCTGGCTTTTAAGGTTCAAGCCAAGGTGTCAACTGTTAGCCTAATATGTTTCCCTTTGAAAGTGATATGACCCTTTTGTTTAGCTTCAATTAACATTTTTTCTTGCACATTGACCTTCAAAAGTCTGATGACTATGTGTCTTGGGGATGTTCGTCTGATATAATATCTTGCAAATATTCTCTGAATTTCTTGAATTTGCATGCTATCCTCTCTAGAAAATATGTTTTCCAAGTGGCCTACTACTCTCTCCTCTTCTCTCTCAGGAATGCCAATGAATCATAGATTTGGTCTCTCTGTACAATCACATATTTCTTGGAGGCTTTGTTCATTTTTTAAAATTATTATTTTTATGTTCATCTAACTGTACTGATTCAAAGAACTGGTCTTTGAGTTCTTAAATTCTTTCCTCAGCTTGGTCTATTCTGTTGCTAAGACTTCCAAATATATTTTGAAATTTCTGTAGTGAATTTTTCAATTCCAGAATTTCAGTGGGTTCCTTCTTAATATGGTGATATTGGCTTTCCAGTCTGGATTCATTTTTTGGCTTTCTTTCGATTTCAGCGTTTGGATTTCAACATTCTCTTGAATCTTGTTGATCTTCTTTGTCACCCTGATTCTGAATTTTATGTCTGTCATTTCAGACATTTCAATCTGGTTAGGATCCACCAGGGAGCTAATGCAATTTTTGCAGGTAAGGAATCACTCAGGCTTTTTGAACTGTTGGCGTTTTTGTGCTGATTCTTTCTCATCTGAGGGTGCCAGTGTTTCTTTGTTTCTTTCTTTATCTTCTTCTTTTTTTTTTGAAATTGCTGTTGTTTGTATAGGGCTTTTGTTTTTATATTCTTTTTTTCCCTTGAGATTTTCATTGTGGTGTATGTTGTTTATAGTCAATTGGCTTTATTTCTTCGAGCTTTCAGAGGGCCAAGGCTCTGTATGGGTTTTTTACGTTGATAGTTTCCTTCATGGGCTTTCACAGGTGTTGTAGGTGAAGGAATTTATTTTTGTTTGGTGGTGTAGTTTAGACTGTGACTTAGTAAATGGCACTTAAGAGTAAGGGTAGGCTCTTAGCTGCGTGCCTGTTTTGCATTTCAGTGTGTATGCAGCAATGCTCTGGGAAAGGGAGACAGAGGGCAGGAGAGGACTCCTTCACCAAGTCTGTTCCTGGGCCTTGGTGGAGCCCCTTTCAATTACTGGCACTGTGCTTATGTTTCCTTAGCCTCAAGGCAGGCTTTGGCAGGCTGTGCTTTTCTCTCCATTAAGAACAGTTCAAGATGAAAGTCAGGTAACCAGGAGACCCATAATTCCCCAGGGTTCCACTGGTCCTTTGAGCTTGGCAGAATCAGTGAGTTTTGGGATATGTCTGCAGTTGGTCTGGTGATGCGGTAGGTCAAGAGTGAGGGAACGCCAGGCAGGGCGGTGGTTTCATGGGTGTGCAACTGGTGTGGCACTAACAGCCTGGTATTTTTAGCCCAGTTGACAGCTGTGGGGCTTGCCCAGCTCATTCTCCCCCAATCCAGTGAGTCTCTCCAGCACCTGCCCCAGGAGCCGGCCCAGCCAGCTACGTTTTTCCACAGACTTCTCTTGCCAGATGGCTGTGCTCTTCCAGGTGTTCAGAGCCATGGGGCTGTCTGGGTAAAAAGCTGTTGCTGGCTAACACGCATACCCTCCTGCACCAGTCTTTCAGAGGGAGAGATTCCCCGCTCCCATGCCAGCACATGAACCCACTCCACATTCTTGTCAGTTTTCTGATAGTGGGGGCTCCTCCTCCAATAGAGATCAGCTCAATACTCTTAGGCAGTGTGCTTGAATTCCCTCGGGGTTGGAGCCAGGTCTACAGTTTTATTTTCTGGCCCCTTAGGGTGGAGCACCAGCTGTGCTGGGAGTGATGGGGGCGGGCTCTCTCCTGCTCCCAGGCAGCCAGCAAAACTCTATTTTAATTGTTCACCAAAAATTCAAATGAAAATTAGGTAATGTACCATGAAATAGTTAAATATATTCATGATAAAAATGTACTGTCTGTTAGGAGAGAAAAAATGATACACTTAAAACACTGAAAACATTAATTGAAGGAATATTTTAAGATTTTACAGCTACAGTAACTGCCTAGGCAGGAAATTCTCACATACAACTTCTTCATTTCTTAAGATGTAATGTTTTTAATATGCTCTATATATTTCTTTAGTAGATATAGATTTTATTTAAGAATACAAACAAAAATGTATCTACCTAGAATTCAAGATTATTTTATTTGCTTGATTTTACCATAGATAGGTTGACTAGAGTAGTAACATGGAATAGAGAATCAAAACGGCTCCTATAGTGTCTTTCATAATTTAAGAAAATTTATGATAATGCAATATATGTAGTGCAAAACCTTTATCATAGCAACCCTTAAAGATAATTTTTACATTAGTGATGGGACATTGCATCTTACAATGCGGTCTAATCCATTTTTATATACCTTTAATTGTTCTAAATTACTCTCTTCAATTGAGACTCATTTATTCATTGAACAAAAGTTCATTGAGCTCTTAAGATATACCACGCAGAGTTTTCGAAGCTGGAACTCTATTAATGAGACAAACGGACTTGATTCTTGTGGGAATAGATTAAAAAAATAAAATAAATTCCCTCCTTCATTTAATTAGTATTTCTTGAAAGCTTACTAAGTACCAGACATTCTTATTTATTTATTTATTTATTTTTATTATTATACTTTAAGTTCCAGGGTTCATGTGCGCAACGTGCAGGTTTGTTACATATGTATACATATGCCATGTTGGTGTGCTGCACCCATTAACTCATCATTTACATTAGGTATATCTCCTGATGCTATCCATCCCCCATCCCACCACCCCATGACAGGCCCCGGTGTGTGATGTTCCGCATCCTGTGTCCAAATGTTCTCATTGTTCAAATCCCACCTATGAGTGAGAACATGTGGTGTTTGGTTTTCTATTCTTACGATAGTTTGCTGAGAATGATGGTTTCTAGCTTCATCCATGTCCCTACAAAGGACATGAACTCATCCTTTTTTATGGCTGCATAGTATTCCATGGTGCATATGTGCCACATTTTCTTAATCCAGTCTATCATTGATGGACATTTGGGTTGGTTCCAAATCTTTGCTATTGTGAATAGTGCCACAATAAACATACGTGTGCATGTGTCTTTATAGCAGCATGATTTATAATCCTTTGGGTATATACCCAGCAGTGGGATGGCTGGGTCAAATATTTCTAGATCTAGATCCTTGAGGAATTGCCACACTGCCTTCCACAATGGTTGAACTAGTTTACAGTCCCACCAACAGTGCAAAAGTGTTCCTATTCCTCCACATCCTCTCCAGCACCTGTTGTTTCCTGACTTTTTAATGATCACCATTCTAACTGGTGTGAGATGGTGTCTCATTATGGTTTTGATTTGCATTTCTCTGATGGCCAGTGATGATGAGCATTTGTTCATGTGTCTGTTGGCTGCATAAATGTCTTCTTTGGAGAAGTGTCTGTTCATATCCTTTGCTCACTTGTTGATGGGGTTGATTTTTTCTCATAAATTTGTTTAAGTTCTTTGTAGATTCTGGAAATTAGCCCTTTGTCAGATGGGTAGATTGCAAAAATTTTCTCCCATTCTGTAGGTTGCCTATTCACTCTGATGGTAGTTTCTTTTGCTGTGCAGAAGCTCTTTAGTATAATTAGATCCCATTTGTCAATTCTGGCTTTTGTTGCCATTGCTTTTGGTGTTTTAGACATGAAGACCTTGCCCATGCCTATGTCCTGAATGGTATTGCCTAGGTTTTCTGCTAGAGTTTTTATCGTTTTAGGTCTGACATTGAAGTCTTTAATTCATCTTGAATTAATTTTTGTATAAGGTGTAAGGAAGGGATCCAGTTTCAGCTTTCTGCATATGACTAGCCAGTTTTCCCAGCAGCTTTTTAAAAATAGGGAATCCTTTCCCCATTTCTTGTTTTTGTCAGATTTGTCAAAGATCAGGTGGTAGTAGATGTGTGATATGATTTCTGAGGGCTCTGTTCTGTTCCATTGGTCTATATCTCTGTTTTGGTACCAGTACCATGCTGTTTTGGTTACTGTAGCCTTGTAGTATAGTTTGAAGTCAGGTAGCATGATGCCTCCAGCTTTGTTCTTGTGGCTTAGGATTGTCTTGGCAATGCAGGCTTTTTTTTGGTTCCATGTGAACTTTAAAGTAGTTTTTTCCAATTCTGTGGAGAAAGTCATTGGTAGCTTGATGGGGATGGCATTGAATCTATAAATTACCTTGGGCAGTATGACCATTTTCATGATATTGATTCTTCCTATCCATGAGCATGGAATGTTCCTCCATTTGTTTGTATCCTCTTTTATTTCGTTGAGCAGTGGTTTGTAATTCTCCTTGAAGAAGTCCTTCACATCCCTTGTAAGTTGGATTCCTAAGTATTTTATTCTCTGTGAAGAAATTGTGATTGAGAGTTCACTTATGATTTGGCTCTCTGTTTGTCTGTTGTTGCTGTATAAAAATGCCTGTGATTTTTGCACATTGATTTTGTATCCTGAGACTTTGCTGAAGTTGCTTATCAGCTTAAAGAGACTTTGGGCTGGGATGATGGGGTTTTCTAAATATACAATCATGTCATCTGCAAACAGGGACAATTTGACTCCCTCTTTTCCTAATTGAATACGCTTTATTTCTTTCTCCTGCCTGATTGCCCTGGCTAGAACATCCAACACTATGTTGAATAGGAGTGGTGAGAGAGGGCATCCCTGTCTTGTGTGCCAGTTTTCAAAGGGAGTGATTCCAGTTTTTGCCCATTCAGTATGTTACTGGCTGTGGGTTTGTCATAAAATAGCTCTTATTATTTTGAGATATGTCCCATCAATACCTAATTTATTGAGAGTTTTTAGCATGAAGGGTTGTTGAATTTTGTAGAAGGCCTTTTCTGCATCATGTGGTTTTTGTCTTTGGTTCTGTTTATATGATGGATTACATTTATTGATTTGCATATGTTGAACCAGCCTTGCATCTCAGAGATGAAGCCCACTTGATCATGGTGGATAAGCTTTTTGATGTGCCGCTGGATTTGATTTGCCAGTATTTTATTGAGGAATTTTGCATTGATGTTCATCAGGGATATTGGTCTAAAATTCTCTTTTTTTGTTGTGTCTCTGCCAGGCTTTGGTATCAGGATGATGCTGGCCTCCCAAAATGAGTTAGGGAGGATTCCCTCTTTTTTTATTGATTGAATAGTTTCAGAAGGAATGGTAGCAGCTCCTCTTTGTACCTCTGGTAGAATTTTGCTGTGAATCTATCTGGTCCTGGACTTTTTTTGGTTGGTAGGCTATTAATTATTGCCTCAATTTCAGAGTCTGTTAGTGATCTACTCAGGGATTCAACTTCTTCCTGGTTTAGTCTTGGGAGGGTGCATTTGTCGAGGAATTTATCCATTTCTTCTAGATTTTCTAGTTTATTTGCATAGAGGTGCTTATAGTATTCTCTGATGGTAGTTTGTATCTCTGTGGGATCAGTGGTGATATCCACTCTATCATTTTTTATTGCATCTATTTTGTTCTTCTCTTTTTTCTTCTTCATTAGTCTTGCTAGTGGCCTATCAATTTTGTTGATCTTTTCAAAAAACCAGCTCCTGGATTCATTGATTTTTTGAAGGGTTTCTTGTGTCTCTATTTCCTTCAGTTCTGCTCTGATCTTAGTTAACTATTTCTTACCTTCTGCTCGCTTTTGAATGTATTTGCTCTTGCTTCTCTAGTTGTTTTAATTGTGATGTTAGGGTGTCAATTTTAGATCTTCCCTGCTTTCTCTTGTGGGCATTTAGTGCTATAAATTTCCCTCTACACACTGCTTTAACTGTGTCCCAGAGATTCTGGTATGTTGTGTCTTTGTTCTCATTGGTTTCAAAGAACGTCTTTGTTTCTGCCTTAATTTCTTTATGTACCCAGTAGTCATTCAAGAGCAGGTTGTTCAGTTTCCATGTAGTTGAGGGGTTTTGAGTTAGTTTCTCAATCTTGAGTTCTAATTTGATTCCACTGTGGTCTGAGAAACAGTTTGTTATAATTTCTGTTCTTTTCCATTTGCTGAGGAGTGCTTCACTTCCACCTATGTGGTCAATTTTGGAATAAGTGTGATGTGGTGCTGAGAAGAATGTATATTCTGTTGATTTGGGATGGAGAGTTCTGTAGATGTCTATTAGGTCCACTTAGTGCAGAGCTGAGTTCAATTCCTGGATATCTTTGTTAACCTTCTGTCTCGTTGATCTGTCTCATGTTGACAGTGGGGTGTTAAAGTTTCCCATTACTATTGTGTAGGAGTCTAAGTCTCTTTGTAGGTCTCTAAGGACTTCCTTTATGAATCTGGGTGCTCCTGTATTAGGTTCATATATATTTAGGATAGTTAGCTCTTCTTGTTGAATTGATCCCTTTACCATTATGTAATAGCCTCCCTTGTCTCTTTTGATCTTTGTTCTTTTAAAGTCTGTTTTATTAGAGACTAGGATTGCAACCCCTGCTCCCCTTTGTTTTCCATTTGCTTGGCAGATCTTCCTCCATCCCCTTATTTTGAGCCTATGTGTGTCTCTGCACATGAGATAGGTCTCCTGAATACAGCACACTGATGGGTCTTGACTCTTTATCCAATCTTTATCTTTACCTTTACCTTTATGTTTATCTTTATCTTTCTCTTTGCCAGTCTGTATCTTTTAATTGGAGCATTCAGCCCATTTACATTTAAGGTTAATATTGTTATGTGTGAATTTGATCCTGTCATTACAATGTCAGCTGGTCATTTTGCTCATTAGTTGATGCAGTTTCTTCCTAGCATCAATGGTCTTCACAATTTGGCATGTTTTTGCAGTGGCTGGTACCAGTTGTTCCTTTCCATGTTTAGTGCTTCCTTCAGGAGCTCCTGTAAGGCAGGCCTTGTAGTGACAAAATCTCTCAGCATTTGCTTGTCTGTAAAGGATTTTGTTTCTCCTTCCCTTATGAAGCTTAGTTTGGCTGGTTATGAAATTCTGAGTTGAAGATTCTTTTCTTTAAGAATGTTGAATATTAGCCCCCACTCTCTTCTGGCTTGTAGAGTTTCTGCCGAGGGATCCGCTGTTAGGCTTCCCTATTTGGGTAACCCATCCTTTCTCTCTCATTGCCCTCAACATTTTTTCCTTCATTTCTACTTTGGTGAATCTAACAATTATGTGTCTTGGAGTTGCTCTTCTCAAGGAGTATCTTTGTGGCGTTCTCTGTATTTCCTGAATTTGAATGTTGGCCTGCTTGCTAATTTGGGGAAGTTCTCCTGGATAATATCCCGCAGAGTGTTTTCCAACTTGGTTCCATTCTCCCCATCACTTTCAGATATACCAATCAGATGTAGATTTAGTCTTTTCACATAGTCCCATATTTCTTAGAGGCTTTGTTCATTTCTTGTTACTGTTTTTTCTCTAAACCTCTCTTCTCACTTCATTTCATTCATTTGATCTTCAATTACTGATACCCTTTCTTCCACTTGATCGAATCGGCTCTTGAAGCTTGTGCATGCATCACGTAGTTCTCATGCCATGGTTTTCAGCTCCATCAGGTCATTTAAGGTCTTCTCTACGCTGTTTATTCTAGTTAGCCATCGTCTAATCTTTTTTCAATGTTTTTAGCTTCTTTGCAATGGGTTCAGACATCTTCCTTTAGCTTAGAGAAGTTTGTTATTACCGATCTTCTGAAGCCTTCTTCTCTCAACTTGTCAAAGTCATTCTCCATCCAGCTTTGTCCTGTTGCTGGCAAGGAGCTGCATTCCTTTGAAGGCACTCTGATTTTTAGAGTTTTCAGCTTTTTTGCTCTGGTTTCTCCCCATCTTTGTGGTTTTATCTACCATTGGTCTTTGATGATTGTGACATACCGATGGTGTTTTGGTGTGGATGTCCTTTCTGTTTGTTGATTTTCCTTCTAACAGTGAAGACCGTCAGCTGCAGGTCTGTTGGAGTTTGCTGGAGGTCCACTCCAGACCCTGTTTGCCTGGGTATCACCAGCGGAGGCTGCAGAACTGCAAATATTACAGAACGGCATATATTGCTGCCTGATGCTTCCTCTGGAAGCTTTGTCTCAGAGGGGCCCCCGGCTGTATGAGGTGTCAGTCGGCCCCTACTGGGAGGTGCCTCCCAGTTAGGCTACTCATGGGTCAGGGACCCACTTGAGGAGGCAGTCTGTCCATCCTCAGATCTCAAACTCTGTGCTGGGAGAACCACTACTCTCTTCAAAGCTGTCAGACTGGGACATTTAAGTCTGCAGAAGTTTCTGCTACCTTTTGTTCAGCTATGCCCTGCCCCCAGAGGTGGAGTCTACAGAGGCAGGCAGGCCTCCTTGAGCTGTGGTGGGCTCCACCCAGTTGAAGCTTCCCTGGCTGCTTTGTTTACCTACTCAAGCCTCAGGTATGGCAAACGCCCCTCCCCCAGCCTTGCTGCCACCTTGCAGTTTGATCTCAGACTGCTGTGCTAGCAGTGAGCAAGGCTCCATGGGTGTGGGACCCTCTGAGCCAGGCACGGGATATAATCTCCTGGTATGCCATTTGCTAAGACCGTGGGAAAAGTGCAGTATTACTGTGGGAGTGACCTGAATTTCCTGGTGCCATTTGTTACGGCTTCCCTTGGTTTGGAAAGGGAATTCCCTGACCACTTGCGCTTCCTGGGTGAGGCAATGCCAATGCGTTGCCCTGCTCCTGCTCCTGCTCCTGGTCCTTGGGTTGCACCCACTGTCCTGCACCCACTGTCCAACAAGCTCCAGTGAGATGAACCTGGTACCTCAGTTGAAAATGCAGGAATCACCCATCTTCTGCATCACTCACGCTGGGAGCTGTAGACTGGAGCTCTTCCTATTTGGCCATCTTGGAACCTTTTTCCCAGACATTCTTTTTAAAATGATAGAAAGAAGTAAACCAGTAACTATGCATATGAGATGAATACTGGATAATGATAAGAGCTTTACAGAAAATTAAAATTGGGTCATTTAAAAATATTGATGCCTGATTTTATGTTACTCTATATCAGGCGCAGTTTTAAGTGCTCATTTAATCTTTTGAACTGCTACATGTACTATATTAAGGCAATCTCCCATTTACAGATGAGGAAGTAGGGGCACAGAGAAGGATGCCACCTTTCTAAAATCACATAGCTATTAAGTAGAAAAGGCAGAATTCAATCTCAAGCAATTTTCTTCCAAGGCCAATGTTTATTATTAAAGTAACATAGGCTTTTCTGGCCTTAAAAAAAAAAATCCTAAAACCTAGAGGCTTAAAAGAATATCCCATAATTCTTTGGGCTTGTCATAATGATTTTGAGATGCCTATTAGGTATCTATTTGGAAATGTGATATGGTTTGGCTCTGTGTCTCCAACCAAATCTCACCTTGAATTGTAATAATCCCCACGTTTCATGGGAGGGACCTGCTAGGAGGTAATTGAATTATAGGGGTAGATTTTGCCCATGCTGTTCTTGTGATACTGAATGGTTTTATAAGGGGGAGTTCCCCTGCATATGCCCTCTTCCCTGCTGCCATGTAAGATGGCTTTTTGCTCTTTCTTCATCTTCCTCCATGATTGTGAGCCCTCCCCAGCCATGTGGAACTGTGAGTCCATTAAACCTCTTTCCTTTATAAATTACCCAGTGTTGAGTATGTCTTTATTAGCAGCATGAGAACGGACTAATACAAGATATCAAGAAGAACTTTGGAAATAGGAGCCTGTAGCTCTATTGAGATGTCAGAAATAAAATACAATTTGGGAGTCATGAACAAGTAGAGAGGGTCAACTTTCCATATCATTTTCATCTAATGATTCTAATTTTGTCTTATGAATGATATAGAATGAATTACTTCTCTCTTTTACTTGCTATATCTTCACATATTTGAAAATACATGGTTAATTATATCTCCCTTTATTCTATTAATCTCTTGCAGAAACTATCAAAAAAATTGTAAGATAGAAAAGATAACAGGATATTGAAGGGGATGGAGAAACAGTAAAAATTAATGTAACATCGATATATACAGTTTAGAATGGTTGACAGTTTTCCATTAAAGGGATTCAAGAACAAGACCATATTTGGTTAGAATCATAGAAACTTGTGTTTTATCACATCCTTAAAAACTGAACACTGATATTAAGAAATACTAAGTATTTTAATATAATTTACATTATTATTATTTTAACTGTGGCAAGAAAAGTGTTATTAAGACCCTATGTTTTAGAAATAATGCTGAGATATTCATGGATGAGTGAATGTAATATCTGAGACTTGCTTCAAAATAGAGGGGGTAGATACTTGGGGACATAAGTATATAATATTGTTTATGTTGATAATATATGATATTGATAATTGTTGAAGGGAGGTGATGGCCAAATAGGGGTTCATTATATCTACTATTGTATGTACTTGAAGTATCCCATTACAATAATTAGAGTATATTACAGATAAAACACTAACAAATAATAAATGAAATAATCCTTGGACTTTACCTAGTGTGGTCAACCATTAGATGCTTATTTCTACTCCACAAAATCACTATTACACCATCATTTGCTCTGTCCTTCACTTTAATAATGAAAAACTCCCTACTTTTAAAAAAATTTTACAACTGTTCTGATCCTTAGAAATTTACTTTTTATGTTGTCATAAATGTTGTCTCCCCAGAATTTCTCATATTTATTCTCCTTGTTTTTCAAATAACTTTTAGGGTCATCAAAAGAATTAAATTATTAGAATTAAATTATTAAATTAAAAATTAAAATTATTAAGTTAAAAGAATTAAATTTTAATTTAAGAAAAGCTTTAAAATATTCAAAAATTTTGAGCAATGATGAGGGTCCAACTGAGATGACTAACCATAAATAAAAGCTGTAAAACAGGAACTTCTTCATCTTTCTGAAATCAAATCCGTAAATCTTTCTTCATTTGCATGTTTTCTGTCTTCTCTCCTTTTAAATGCCAGACACCTTCCTTCTCTTGTCACAACAGTTTCTTCACTTATGCCCTAGATTTCATTTGCTGCCACCTTTTCTGGGATGTATTTTGGGTTATTATTCCTTTTCCTGCATTTTCACCTTATTCCTGCTAATAATTTCTTCTCATTGGGACATACTCTTATAGCAGTGATACTTACAAAAAAAGAAATCCTTCCATCTCTATATTTTCTTCCATGTACGACGTTACTGATGGTCAATTTACTCTTCAATCTCATTGATCTGGCTTCAGTTTCAATTGTTTATTGTAGTGGATTCTTTCAAGGACATTTAATCTGTGCTAGAGTCTTGTGCAGTTAACCTAACACTAGCTCAGATCTCTCTATAATTATTGTATAATTTGCCCTCTAGAAAAATAAACTACTCTAGATAGAATGATCCTAAATTCATCTGTTTGTGTTGATGTCTTTCAGCAGCCAAAACTTATGTTGTTGTTATTCGAAATCAGACTTATTTACCAGAACTTAAATACTAATAGTCATTTTAAGAAAATTTTGAGAAAGTGCTTAATACTGTAAGTTGAAATTAAGAAGTAACAACATAGGAGGAAAAGTAACAAGAAGAGGAAAATGGTTTTATTCTTCTTTTCAGATGAGTAAGACAGCCTTATAAGGCATTTCTCTTTATCTAATTATTTTGTTATTAGAGTCACAATTTTTCCAATAGTATCTTTCTTTTATTTTCTCTTAGGATTTAAATGTGTTATTTGATATATAATGATACTTTCTTTTTGTACTTTGATATTCAATGTGCGGAAATCTTAAACTGTCTGAACATCAAATACAATGTGATTCAACAAGTGATAGTATGCTTCATGTATATTTATATCTCCATCTATATGGTAATGCCAGGGACAGCACTTAGAGTACCTGTTCCTACTTGGCTGGATCTTGTCTTTCCAGAATTTGTAAGTTTTATTGCAAATGAAATGTCAAACCTGATGCCCTAAGTACAGCAGCGAATCTGGGAACCCTATCCCCCTGGCATATTAATGTTCTCCTTTACAGGTAGCATAATAAATGGCCAAACATCTTTTTGATTGTCCATGCTCCTTTTTCAAAGTCTTCTTATGTTTAGTAGAGAATAGGCAAAGGAGATCTCCTAAAGTTGTTAAATCATTTCTTCAGGCAATAAGAGGGTCTTATTCTTCATTTCTACATGGATTTGTACTAAATTACAGAGTAGGGGTTGAAAGCAGTATATTCTACTTCTCAGAAAGCCAAATTTGGTAAAACAAAATGTTGATTCTGATACTTATATCTAATGAGCCTACTGTCTTTGTGATTTGAAAGGATTTGTGCTACATCAGATGAAGTTTCAGTGTTAGATTTCATGGCATCAGTATTGAATGCTTCTCACTCAAAGCAGGAAAAGAACAGTATTTTGCACTTTCAGATCACTTGAATATCTCTCAGTTAGTATTAAATATGCTATTTGAAGGTTAAAATATACCAATAGCACTATTTTATGCTTTCTTTTTGCCTAATCATATAAATGTTTTTACTTCATGAGGGTTATTCTTGTTGGCATGGAGTGCCCTGCAAGGCAGCATCCTTTTGAGGCTCAAGGGAAAAGGATTATAGCCCTGGAATCCTTCTCAGAAAAATCAGCAACTATTGTCTTCAAATTTATTCACTTTATCCCTATTCCAAAAATGTTTTCCCTCTTTTGTCATTAAAGGAAATTTTGCTCCACTATCATAAAATCATATACTATATCCTCTCTACTGTATGGCGCATAGTATAATTTTGTGGTTAGTTTACAAAAACTTTTCTACGATATTCAATGGGAAAATTGGGAAATTTAAAACATTTCTCTCTCCCTCTCTTTCTGTGTGTGTGTGTGTGTGTGTGTGTGTCTCACTGGGATGGACACACAAACGTGCAGGCAAACGCACATGCACGCACACACACACGGCCTTGTAAGACTTTAGTTTTGTTCACTAAGGGTCTCAGTAAGTCTAGTTTGCACCTCAAAGTGGAACAGTGACTTCCTTATTTCTGGCTCAATCAGGTGAATCACACAAAATAACAAATACCATTGAAACAATGAATTGGAGAGTCAGAAGATAATTAGGACATAGGCATTACCAGAAGCGAATCCATATTGGCTTGCTATCTCAAAAACATCACTCCCTTTAAACATCTTACCAAAAGTACAGCTTTTAACTTTTCTTATTGCCTCCTTATTCTCTCACTCTAGGTCTTCCTGCAATTTAAGCTTTCTACAGTACAGCTCGGATCATATTTCTCCCCTCCTTAAGATTTCCAGTGATTTCCCATTGCTCATTAAATTAAGGACTTATCTGAATTTTAACATTTGAGATGTTACTAACATGCCCCTCACTATCTTTAATTTTGTCTTTTTCCCCACATGTTCTCCGGGCTTCAGCAACTTATAGTTTTCATACTTTGGATAATACTATTTCTTCTGATTAGAATGAGTCCTCTTATAACTCCGTCTGTCAAAATCTCAACCATTGTTAATGCCTATATTAAATCAATGCCATGCTGAAAACTTTTGACCCCAGTAGATTGGAAACCATATTAATTATTTCATTCTGTGTTCCATATTGACACTTGCCTTACTCTCCTATATTCTTGTCATAGTGTTTTCCGATAAAAATATCTCCAAAAATTAGATAAATGCCAGTATTAAAAACAAGATGGCATTATGTCTGTTAGTAGTATACATGTCCTTTTAAGATAAATTTGGAAACATAAATATTAATTATTAATATACATTAGGTATTATTGGATCACAGTTGAGAAGCATTTTTGTCCTTTAAGAGTGGAAGGATTCTTCCCATTAATATTATTTTCTAATTGGGAATAAATATTTTCCTTACATTCTTTAGTAGTTTGTCAGAAAGAATGTGCAGCAGATAATTATTTTTAAAAATTAGAATCAGTGAATACATTCAGAAATTTACTGTTGTGTGTGAATATAAACAGAATTTCAAATGCAACTGAGAAAATTTTTGATGAACAAAAACATAATTTTAAATATAACTCAAAATTTTTGAGGATACCTAATCAAATTCTAAGATATTTTTAATACCATGAATAAATATATTATGAAATCATGATTTTTAGGCAATAACTAAAGCTAACTTTTTTTTATTATACTTTAAGTTCTAGGGTACAAGTGCACAATGTGCAGGTTTGTTACCTAGGTATACATGTGCCATGTTGGTTTGCTGCACCCATTAACTCATCATTTACATTACGTATTTCTCCTAATGCTATCCCTCCCCCTGCCCCCACCCCATGACAGGCCCCCATGTGTGATGTTTCCACCCTGTGTCCAAGTGTTCTCATTGTTCAGTTCCCACCTATGAGTGAGAACATGTGGTGTTTGGTTTTCTGTCGTTGTGACAGTTTGCTCAGAATGATGGTTTCCAGCTTCATCCATGTCCCTACAAAGGACATGAACTCATCCATTTTCATGGCTGCATAGTATTCCATGATGTATATGTGCCACATTTTCTTAATCCAGTCTGTAATTGATGGACATTTCAGTTGGTTCCAAGTTTTTGCTATTGTGAATAGTGCCACAGTAAACATACTTGTACATGTGTCTTTATAGTACCATGATTTATAATCCTTTGGGTATATACCAGGCAATGACATGGCTGGGTCAAATGGTATTTCTAGTTCTAGATCATTGAGGAATTGCCACACTGTCTTCTACAGTGGTTGAACTAGTTTACAGTCCCACCAACAGTGCAAAAGTGTTCCTATTTCTCCACATCCTCTCCAGCACCTGTTGTGTCCTGACTTTTTAATGATCTCCATTCTAACTGGTGTGAGATGGTATCTCATTGTGGTTTTGATTTGCATTTCTCTGATGACCAGTGATGATGAGCATGTTTTCATATGTCGATTGGCTGCATAAATGCCTTCTTTTGAGAAGTGTCTGTACATATCCTTTGCCCACTTTTTGATGTTGTTGTTGTTGTTGTTGTTTTTTTTGTAAATTTGTTTAAGTTCTTTGTAGATTCTGGATATTAGCCCTTTGTCAGATGGGTAGATTGCCAAAATATTTTCCAATTCTGTAGGTTGCCTATTCACTCTGATGGTAGTTTCTTTTGCTGTGCAGGAGCCCTTTAGTTTAATTAAATCCCATTTATCTATTTTGGTTTCTGTTGCCATTGCTTTTGGTGTTTTAGTCATGAAGTTCTTTCCCATGCCTATGTCTTGAATGGTATTGCCTAGGTTTTCTTCTAGGGTTTTTATGATTTTAGGTTTAACATTTAACTCTTTAATCCATCTTGAATTAATTTTAGTATAAGGTGTAAGGAAGGGATCCAGTTTCAGCTTTCCACATATGGCTAACCAGTTTTCCCAGCACCATTTATTAAATAGGGAATCCTTTCCCCACTTCTTCTTTTTGTCAGATTTGTCAAAAATCAGATGGTACTAGATGTGTGGTGTTATTTCCAAGGCCTCTGTTTAGTTGCATTGGTCTATATCTCTGTTTTGGTACTAGTACCCTGCTGTTTTGATTACTGTAGCCTTGTAGTATAGTTTGAAGTCAGGTAGGGTGATGCTTCCAGCTTTGTTCTTTTTGCTTAGGGTTGTCTTGGCAATGTGGGCTCTTTTTTGGTTCCATATGAACTTTAAAGTAGTTTTTTCCAATTCTGTGAGGAAAGTCATTGGTAGCTTGGTGGGGATGGCATTGAATCTATAAATTACCTTGGGCAGTATGGCCATTTTCATGATATTGATTCTTGCTGTACATGAGCATGGAATATTCTTCCATTTGTTTGTGTCCTCTTTTATTTCGTTGAGCAGTAGTTTGTAGTTCTCTTTGAAGAGGTCCTTCACATCCCTTGTAAGTTGGATTCCTAGGTATTTTATTTTCTTTGTAGCAATTGTGAAAGGGAGTTCACTCATGATTTGGCTCTCTGTTTGTCTGTTATTGGTGTGTAGGAATGCGTGTGATTTTTGCACATTGATTTTCTATCCTGAGACATAATAAGCAACATGAAGCAATAAGACATAAGCAACATGAAGTTGCTTATCAGCTTAAGGAGATTTTGGGCTGAGATGATGGGGTTTTCTAAATACACAATCATGTCATCTGCAAACAGTGACAATTTGACTTCCTCTTTTGCTAATTGAATACCCTGTATTTTTTTCTTTTCCTGATTGCCCTGGCGAGAACTTCCAACACTATGTTGAATAGGAGTGGTGAGAGAGGCATCCTTGTCTGGTGCCAGATTTCAAAGGGAATGCTTGCAGTTTTTGCCCATTCAGTATGTTATTGGCTGTGGGTTTGTCATAAATATCTCTTATTTTGAGATACATTCCATCAATACCTAGTTTATTGAGAGTTTTTAGCATGAAGCACTGTTGAATTTTGTCAAAGGCCTTTTCTGCATCTACTGAGATAATCATGTGGTTTTTGTCTTTGGTTCTGTTTATGTGATGGATTATGTTTATTGATTTGCATATGTTGAAACAGCCTTGCATCCCAGGGATGAAGTCGACTTCATAGTGGTGGATAAGCTTTTAGATGTGCTGCCTGATTCGGTTTCCAGTATTTTATTGAGGATTTTTAGATTAATGTTCATCAGGGATACTCATCTAAAATTCTCTTTTTTGGTTGTGGCTCTGTCAGGCTTTGGTATCAGGATGATGCTGGCCTCATAAAATGAGTTAGAGAGGAATTCCTCTTTTTCTATTGATTGGAATATTTTCAGAAGGAATGGTACCAGCTCCTCCTTGTACCTCTGGTAGAATTTGGCTGTGAATCCGTCTGGTCCCGGACTTTTTTTGGTTGCTAGGCTCTTAATTATTGCCTCAATTTCAGAGCCTGTTACTGGTCTATTCAGATATTCAACTTCTTCCTGGTTTAGTCTTGGGAGGGTGTATGTGTCCAGGAATCTATCCATTTCTTCTAGGTTTTGTAGTTTATTTGCATAGAGGTGTTTATAGTATCCTCTGATGGTAGTTTGTATTTCTGTGGGATTGGTGGTCATATCCCCTTTATCATTTTTTATTGTGTCTATTTGATTATTCTCTTTTTTCTTCTTTATTAGTCTGGCTAGTGGACTATCAATTTTGTTGATCTTTTCAAAAAACCAGCTCCTGGATTCATTGATTTTTTTGAAGGGTTTTTTGTGTCTCTATCTCCTTCAGTTCTGCTCTGATCTTAGTTATTTTTTGCCTTCTGCTCGCTTTTGAATGTGTTTGCTCTTGCCTCTCTACTTCTTTTTATTGTGATGTTAGGCTGTCAATTTTACATATTCCCTGCTTTCTCTTGTGGGCATTTAGTGCTATAAATTTCCCTTTACACACAGTTTTAAATGTGTCCCAGAGATTCTGGTATGTTGTGTCTTTGTTCTCATTGGTTTCAAAGAACATCTTTATTTCTGCCTTCATTTATTATTTAACCAATAGTCATTCAAGAGCAGATTGTTCAGTTTCCATGTACTTGAGTGGTTTTGAGTGAGTTTCTTAATCCTGAGTTCTAGTTTGAGTACACTATGGTCTTAGAGACAGTTTGTTGTGATGTCTGTTCTTTTACATTGGCTGAGGAGTGCTTTACTTCCACCTATGTGGTCAATTTTGGAATAAGTGTGATGTGGTGCTGACAAGAATGTATATTCTGTTGATTTGGGGTGGAGAGTTCTGTAGATGTCTATTAGGTCTGCTTGGTGCAGAGCTGAGTTCAATTCCTGGATATCCTTGTTAACCTTCTGTCTTGTTGATCTGCCTAATAGTGACAGTGGGGTGTTAAAGTTTCCCATTATTATTGTTTGGGAGTCTAAGTCTCTTTGTAGGTCTCTAAGGACTTGGTTTATGAATCTAGATGCTTCTGTGTTGGGTACATATATATTTAGGATAGTTAGCTCTTCTCGTTGAATTGATTCCTTTACCCTTATGTAATGGCCTTCCTTGTCTCTTTTGATCTTTGTTGGTTTAAAGTCTGTTTTTTCAGAGACTAGGATTGCAATCCCTGCTTTTTTTTGCTTTGCATTTGCTTGGTAGATCTTCCTCTATCCCTTTATTTTGAGCCTATGTGTGTCTCTGCAAGTGAGATGGGTTTCCTGAATACAGCACACTGATGGGTCTTGACTCTATCCAATTTGGGAGTCTGTGTCTTTTAATCAGGGCATTTAGCCCATTTACATTTAAGGTTAATATTGTTATGTGTGAATTTGATCCTGTCATTATGATGTTAGCTGATTATTTTGCTCGTTAGTTGATGCAGTTTCTTCCAAGCATCGATGGCCTTTACCTTTTGGCATGTTTTTGCAGTGGCTGGTACCAGTTGTTCCTTTCCATATTTAGTGCTTCCTTCAGGAGCTCTTGTAAGGCAGGCCTGGTGGTGACAAAATCTCTCAGCATTTGCTTGTCTGTAAAGAATTTTATTTCTCCTTCACTTATGAAGCTTAGTTTGGCTGGATATGAAATTCTGGGTTGAAAATTCTTTCCTTTAAGAATGTTGAATATTGACCCCCACTTTTTTCTGGCTTGCAGGGTTTCTGCTGAGGGATCTACTGTTAGTCTGATGGGCTTCCCTTTGTGGGTAACCCGACCTTTCTCTCTGGCTGCCCTTAATATTTTTTCCTTCATTTCAACCTTGGTGAATCTGACAATTATGTGTCTTGGGGTTGCTCTTCTTGAGGAGGATCTTTGTGGTATTCTCTGTATTTCCTGAATTTGAATGTTGGCCTACCTTGCTAGGTTGGGGAAGTTCTCCTGGATAATATCCTGGAGAGTGTTTTTCAACTTGGTTCCATTCTCCCCGTCACTTTGAAGTATACCAATCAAATGTAGACTTGGTCTTTTCACATAGTCCCATATTTCTTGTAGGCTTTGTTCATTTCTTTCTATTCTTTTTTCTCTAAACTTCTCTTCTCACTTCATTTCATTCATTTGATCTTCCATCACTGATACCCTTTCTTCCACTTGATTGAATTGGCTTTTGAAGGTTGTGCATGCATCATGTATTTCTTGCGCCATGATTTTCAGCTCCATCAGGTCATTTAAGGTCTTCTCCACACTGTTCATTCTAGTTAGCCATTCGTCTAATTATTTTCAATGTTTTTAGCTTCTTTGCAATGGGTTCAAACGTCTTCCTTTAGCTCGAAGAAGTTTGTTATTACCGACCTTCTGAAGTCTACTTCTGTCAGCTCGTCAAAGTCATTCTCCGTCCACCTTTTTTCCATTGCTGGCGAGGAGCTGTGATCCTTTGAAGGAGAAGAGGTGCTCTAATTTTTAGAATTTTCAGCTTTTCTGCTCTGGTTTCTCCCCATCTTTGTGGTTTTATCTACCTTTGGTCTTTGATGCTGGTGTCCTACAGATGTGGTTTTGGTTCGGATGTCCTTTTTGTTGATCTTGATGCTATTCCTTTCTGTTTGTTAGTTTTCCTTCTAAGAGTCAGGTCCCTCAGCTGCAGGTCTGTTGCAGTTTGCTGGAGGTCCACTCCAGACCCTGTTTGCCTGGGTATGACCAGCGGAGGTTGCAGAACAGCAAATATTTCAGAACAGCAAATACTGCTGCCTGATCCTTCCTCTGGAAGCTTTGTCCCAGAGGGGTGCCTGCCTGTATCAGGTGTCAGTTGGCCCCTACTGGGAAGTGTCAGGGACCCACTTGAGGAGTCAGTCTGTCCTTCTTAGAGCTCAAACACTGAGCTGGGTGAACTACTGCTCTCTTCAGAACTGTCAGACAGGGACGTTTAAGTCTGCAGAAGTTTCTGCTGCCTCTTGTTCAGCCATGCCCTGCTCCCAGTGGTGGGGTCTACAGAGGCAGCAGGCCTTGCAGAGCTGAGGTGGGCTCCATCCAGTGTGAGCTTCCCAGGCTGCTTTGTTTACCTACTCAAGCCTCAGCAATGGCAGACGCCCCTCCCCCTGCCAGGCTGCTGCCTCGCAAGTCAATCTCAGACTGCTGCGCTAGCAGTCAGCAAGGCTCCATGGGCATGGCACCCGCCAAACCAGGCGTGGGATATAATCTCCTGGTATGTCATTTGCTAAGACCATTGGAAGAGTGCATTATTTGTGCAGGATTGTCCCAATGTTCCAGATATCATCTGTCATGGCTTCCCTTGGCTCGGAAAGGGAAATCCCCCAACCCATTGTGCTTCCTGGGAGAGGTGGTATCCTGCCCAGCTTTGGCTCACCCTCCATGGGCTGCACCTACTGTTCAACCAGTCCCAGTGAGATGAACCAGGTACCTCAGTAGGAAATGCAGAAATCACCGTTTTCTGCGTTGATCACGCTGGGATCTGTAGATCGGATCTGTTCCTATTTGGCCATCTTGAAATGGAATGCAATTATAGCTAACATTTTAAGATTTTTAAAAAGTTACAGTTTTATGAGTTACATCAGATACAGAAGTGAGGCAATCTTTAATAATTAAATGTAATAATGAAATTTGGTTGTATCTAATTGATAAATGATATTTCAAGAGGCATATTGGTTGACACAAGAATTACTAAATTTTTAAAAATCTAAATTTTGTCTTATAAGTTGTCATTTATTATTCCATTTGTTCATTAATTCAGCAAATATTTGTTGAACACCAACTATGTGTCAGTCACTGTACTATATACTGGTGATTAAAAAAAAGTGATCCAAATAGATGTGCTCTTTCCCATTACCCAAATGTTCATTTTAACCAATGTTAGTTGCTCTAATCAAGAAGATAGCCAAATAGAAAGTCTAATTACCTGTCAATGGGCCATGAGTAAATAAGTAATAATGACACCGTCTAAGCATCTACTTTTTAAAATGTTGTTTAAGATGAGGCTTATAAAACAATATACCAAGCAAACTTAATTGAGCATTCTGATTTATAAGTCAGTTTTTATATTTCAGAATAATATGTTTAGATATTTTAACTTTTTCCTCTCTTTATTTTGTGGCAAGTCATTAGTAGTATAAAGTTAGATGAGAAAATATTTTTAGTGAAAATGTAGTTGTTGTTGTTTTTTTAACCACAAAACTAGCTCCAAGTAAAGAGAACTTTGAAAGATTTACGTGTAAACAATTAATGCTTTCATTTATTTGCTTTAATTTTTCATTTTTGTTCTCACTTCATTCTACTGGGCAGAAATAATTTTTTTTAAACCTGGAAAACCCTGTTTTGAATAGTTTTCTGATAGAATTTACAAAGATAAGCTAAAATGTTAAAGCAGAGGAAATTATAGATATTAAATGGTGCAAATAAAAAATGACAGATAATAAAATAGTGTTAAGAATACTTGTATGGTATGTTAAGATAGCTTTTACTCCCTAAAGTACAAAGACAAATATCTATGAAATACATATTGTCCCCTAAGTAAATGTATTTTTGCCATTACTTTTAATTTACTAATATATTGTTTATTGTTTATCAGATTTGAATAAGTATAAAAATTAAATACATGACAAGAATTGCAATACTTTTTTTTTTTTTTTTTTTGAGACGGCTTCTCACGCTGTCACACAGACTAGAGTGCATTGGCGCGATCTCGGCTCACTGTAACCTTTGCCTCGTGGGTTCAAGCAATTCCCTGCCTCAGCCTCCCGAGTAGCTGGGATTACAAGTGCCTGCCACCATGCCCAGCTAATTTTTGTATTTTCAGTAGAGACAGGGTTTCACCATCTTGGCCAGGCTGGTCTTGAACTCCTGACCTAGTGATCCACCCGTCTCAGCCTCCCAAAGTGCTGGGATTACAGGCATGAGCCACTGCACCCGGCCAAGAATTGCAATACTTAAACTTAAGTGCAATATCTTATTTTTGTGTTATTAAACACAAAGCAATCTGTAATATACAACTTACTTTATGTAAATCCGTAAATTGAATTGTGATTACACATGCATTTTTTTGGACAGTTTGAGTGTGTTTTCAATTATGCAACTGTTTGCTTAATGTTTATAGGTAGAAGGGGTGACTTCTAGAACTGAGGAAACTGTGGCTCAGGGAATATATATGATTTACCTAAATTTACACAGCTGATTTACAGTGGAGCCTAGGTTAAAATTTGAGTCTCTTTCTACCTTGCCATGTTTATCATTATGTGTTTAATAACATAATATAACCTAACAAATAAATAATACGCTTTTACAAACAAATTATGGCTGCTCACCCCATCTGGGAACTGAGGAGTGCCTCTGCCCGGCCGCCACCCCGTCTGGGAAGTCGGGAGCACCTCTGCCCGGCCACCACCCCGTCTGGGAAGTGGGGAGCGCCTCTGCCCGGCTGCCCCATTTGGGAAGTGGGGAGCGCCTCTGCCCGGCCGCCCCATCTGGGAAGTGAGGGGCACCTCTGCCCAGCCGCCCTGTCTGGGAGGAAGTGAGGAGCGCCTCTGCCCAGCCCCCCCGTCTGGGAGGTGAGGAACGTCTCTGCCCGGCCGCCCCATCTGGGAATTGAGGAGCGCCTCTGCCCGGCCGCCCATCGTCTGGGAAGTGAGTAGCGCCTCTGCCCGGCCGCCCCGTCTGGGAGGTGAGGAGTGCCTCTGCCCGGCTGCCCATCATCTGGGAAGTGAGGAGCGCCTCTGCCCGGCCGCCCCTTCTGGGATGTGAGGAGCGCCTCTGCCCGGCCACCCCCTCTGGGAAGTGAGGAGCGCCTCTGCCCAGCCACCCCATCTGGGATGTGAGGAGTGCCTCTGCCTGGCCGCCCCGTCTGGGAAGTGGGGAGTGCCTCTGCCCGGCCGCCCTGTCTGGGAAGCAGGGAGCACCTCTGCCCAGCAGCCGCCCCGTCTGGGAAGCAGGGAGTGCTTCTGCCTGGCCGCCCCATCTGGGAGGTGAGGAGTGCCTCTGCCCGGCTGCCCATCATCTGGGAATTGAGGAGCGCCTCTGCCCGGCCACCCCATCTGGGAAGTGAGGAGCATCTCTGCCCACCTGCCCATCTTCTGGGAAGTGAGGAGTGCCTCTGCCCGACCGCCCCATCTGGGAGGTGTACCCAACAGCTCCGAAGAGACAGCGACCATCGAGAATGGGCCATGATGACGATGGTGGTTTTGTTGAAAAGAAAAGGGGGAAATGTGGGGAAAAGAAAGAGAGATCAGATTGTTACTGTGTCTGTGTAGAAAGAAGTAGACATAGGAGACTCCATTTTGTTCTGTAGTAAGAAAAATTCTTCTGCCTTGGGATGCTGTTAATCTATAACCTTACCCCCAACCCCGTGCTCTCTGAAACGTGCTGTGTCAACTCAGGGTTAAATGGATTAAGGGCGGTGCAAGATGTGCTTTGTTAAACAGATGCTTGAAGGCAGCATGCTCCTTAAGAGTCATCACCACTCCCTAATCTCAAGTACCTAGGGACACAAACACTGTGGAAGGCCACAGGGACCTCTGCCTAGGAAAACCAGAGACCTTTGTTCATGTGTTTATCTGCTGACCTTGTCTCCACTATTATCCTATGACCCTGCCACATCCCCCTCTCCGAGAAACACCCAAGAATGATCAATAAATACTAAAAAAAAAAAAAAAAAAAGATTGGTCACTGAGATGAGTTGTTGCTAGCCCAATCCACATGTCCTCTAATTTCTCTTTTCACCTAGTTACTTCCTTCAGTTTTTGCTTTATATATTTTGAAGACTAAACTTGTATTTGGCCAGGCATGGTGTCTCACGCCTATAATCCCAGCACTTTGGGAGGCCGAGGCGGGTGGATCATTTGAGGTCAGGAGTTTGAAACCAGCCTGGCCACCGTGGCGAAGCCCATTCTGTACTAAAAATACAAAAATTAGCCAGGCATGGTGGCGGGTGCCTGTAATCCCAGCTACTCAGGAGGCTGAGGCACAAGAATTGCTTGAACCCAGGATGCAGACATTGCAGTTAGTTGAGATCACACCACTGCACTCTAGCCTGGGGAATAGAATGAGTCTCCATTTCAAAAAATAAATAAGTAAACTTGTATTTAAATACAAGTATTCAAAACTTGTATTAGACAGTGTTAAGTTTAGAATTGTTAAAATGCTACATTTTCTTGGTGCATTAAGCTGTATATCAACAAGAAATAAAACTTTCTGGTAATTAAAAAAAAAAAATTATGGCTGCTCTTCTTGCAAACTTACCTGTTCATAGTTGGTCCTGTGGCAGAAACTGCTAGTTGCCTATCCCATTTTCTTGCATGATAGAATTCAATTGTATTGATAAAGTCAATATGCTCAATGAAAAATTCCATATCTAGGCCTACTTTCAATTAGTGTTGGATTTGTCCCACTGTTGTAGTCACTATGGGTCAAATACAAGTTGAAACCTCTTTTAAAAAGAAAGCACATTTCACTGACTGACCTGTGTCCTTTTTGACTTTCATATATCCATCTGCTTCTGTAGGAAGCAGACATAATGTCTAAAGCTGCAGGAGCTGTCTTAAAAATATAAAAGCTGGGAGGAGCTAAAAGATCTGACATCTTAAGTCATTACCTTAGACCTAAATGCCTACTTCCTGATGTAAGGTTATGTAAGAGAAAAAAATACCTCTATTATGTGTGATACCCTGTTATTTGAATATTTTGTTACATCAAGACAAACCCAATCCTTAAATTAATCCTTAAATTAAATATGCAGCTACTCATACTTATAACAGATGCATGATAAATCATGCACTGTATACAAATCTAATAAAAAGGAGCAGGAAAAGCATATGCCAATGAAGCAAAAAATGACAGAGACAAAGAAATGCAGAAGAAGTTGTACTTCTTCTGAAAACACGTGACTGTGTTATTTGTTACTAAAATGAGAAACATCATGAATAACCTCTCATAGAAAGGGAGATAAGTGTGACTGGGTGTGAAATTTTCTTGAGGGTAATAGAACCCGATTCAAGGCAGCTCTAGGCTTGAACCACTTTTGACAGTTTATGTAAATTGATATTTTGAAGTTTATTATTCATGTTTTCTCCTTAAAAGTAGAAGAAACTCAAAAATCATTTTTAGTAGAAACTCATTGTATAAGATTACACACCCACTATATTATCCATAAATGACCTTTATTAGTGAGTTGGAGAAATTCATACCACTTAATTGTCCCCTGATTTTGCAACACATGCCTGGAACCTACCAACCAGCAAGGAACCCACCATATTATTATCTGGGAAATGATTAACCATTTTCTAAGGCAGCTGCTGATACTATACAGCTTATTGTACATGGTAAAGTTATATGATCTTTATCTTCCTATGCACAACCCAGCCTCAGCACCCTTGGATGCCATGCCTGAGCAAAATGAGAAGCTGCTGGCCACATGTCCTCTCCTGATTCATAAATGATTTCTGAGTACTGCTATATAAACATGCACATGTTGTAGTCTTTGCAAGAGTGGATATCAAATCTATTTATGTCTAGGACAAACTTTTTTTTTCCAAAATAGAATAGAAACATATTTGCAAAGTAATCAGTATAATAACATTATCACATTCAAAACAGGGCTCTAAAGCTAGAAAGAAACTCTAAATATGGACATATATTAAATATTTTTTCATCCCTAAGTAGTTCCTCTTTTCCTCTGACAGGAAAATAGGGCTGCATGTTTCAGCTATAAAATTATGCCTAGAAATCTAAAAGTCTAAGTTATTGTTTACACAAATTCAACTAATTGTTTGTTATAAATAATTACTTAGCAAACGATATCAGCAGACATCTGTTTGCTTAATTTTAGAGAGGTTTCTCTTGAGTAGTCTAGCTTCCTAAATTAATGCTGAAACTTGGCTGAGTCACAAAGTAAGCATTGAGTCAGAAGTCACAGAAATATTAAAAGTCACAGAAATGTTTCTGAAATGGACTTTAATTATCAGCATAACTTATGTTTTACATACTCAACATATAAATACACAGTATCCTGCAATTTCCATTTCCATAGTTTTGTCTAAACTATTATAGTACCCCAGGCCTCACATAATTTGATTCCATTGAGCTCAATTTTTCATTCCTAGGAATATGACACTTCTCTATACTATTTTTTTACCTAAATTGTGTATCTCATATAAAAGAGTGGAATATCTAGGCAAAATTTGAATGTGATATTCACCTGACAATTGGATATAATAAAATAATCTAGTATACATAATTATTTTGTTAACCTATGATTCATAAAACTGTCACCATGAAAAATAATAATTTTGAATAGGACAGGTTTCATGCATGCTAATATTGTTTTTTATTATTTCAATCTATTTAAACTTTTATGATGTTCTCTTTTAAATATTCAGGGTCCAACTTTAGCTATTTGGTTCATTTTTCCCCAAAGATATTCTGATCTTCTTTATATTCAATAAAAAAAATCCTATTATTCAATAACATTATACATTGCAAAGCACCTTGCATTGTTTTACCTTTTATAAAAGCCCATTGATATAAATGGATATTAATATAAAATCCCATATAAAATGATGATATAAGAAAACCTATGACCCTTGCAACGTCATATCACATATTACTAATAAATGGGAGTTTAGAAATCAGAACTCTAGATTCTATCATCTTATTTCATTATGTAATCTCTTAAAGTGTCAAAATAAACTGGAAGAGTAGGGATATACATATTGTTAAAAGAAATTTTGTTCAACCAGAGTGTTACAGAGAGAAAAAAGGAGAGCTTAATAATAAAACTGTGTCTTCATGGAATTTTTCATGTGGATGCATTGATGGAAAGGCATTCTAGGAAAAGGCAACAACATGAGTGAAGGCCCAGAAACCTGAAAGCTCTGGGAAATGTTGCTTAGTCCATGTCTAGAGGCTAGGTAGGTGAAAGGATGAAGACATGAGACTATGAAAGAAGGCTCTGGCTCGCTCTCCAAGGACTTTGGAAGCAATGATTAATATTCATTCTACATCATCTCACATGCCGGGTGCTTTGCTGAGTGCAGTATACGTGATGCCTCATTTTGTCATCACACCACCCTAGTCAGACTCTTCTGATCAACAGACACATAACACGCGAGGCAGAAGCAATATTTCTACACTTCCAGGCTACTTTATTTTCATCCAGGGGTTTTCCTCCTAGAAGAGTAGTGGGGGATGAAGAAAATAAAATCTTTATGTGACACATCTTTGATTGGTTTGGGCTTAATGCAATCTAACATAATAAATAAACTGTGTTAATGTAAAAAAATACAAATATTGCTAATCTAAACTCATAGAAGAAACATATTAAACATACTGATATCTAAAAATATATTTAAAATACAAAAGTGGAAAAAAAAGTTGTTTTATCTTTAAATCTCCAGAATGCACTTTGCATGTCATTAATAGCACATTTGATGTGCTATTCTAGTATTACATTTAGACTATTGAAAAACCATAGTGATTAAATCGAAAGAACATCTGATTTACATTTATCTTTTGGCCCTGTTGATCATCAAGATGAAATGTTTATGGAATCAACATATACTTATTGACTTTTGACTATGTTTAAGAGCTATGCTAAGTAATTATATGTGAGGTTAAGATGAAGATTTTGATTAATTTATTCAGAATGTCTTTAAAACAATAGAGCAAATGTTTGCCCAAATGATTTCAGTCTTGTAGGTCATAGAAATTAGTAAAGGAAAAATTCAGAAAGACATTAAGAAAAGTCATAAGAGGGGCCAGGCGCAGTGGTTCACACCGGTAATCCCAGCACTTTGGGAGACCCAGGTGTGCGGATCACGAGGTCAGGAGATCGAGACCATCTTGGCTAACACGGTGAAACCCCGTCTCTACTGAAAATACAAAAAATTAGCTGGGCGTGGTGGCATGCGCCTATAGCCCCAGCTACTCAGGAGGCTGAGGCAGGAGAATTGCTTGAACCCGGGAGGTGGAGGTTGAAGTGATCCTAGATCATGCCACTGCACTCCAGCCTGGGCGACAGAGTGAGACTCCGTCTCAAAAAAAAAAAAAAAAAAAAAAAAAAGTGATAAGAGTCTCTCAGAGGCATTCAGAGATTTTGCTACATTCCAGGAAAAGACTGGAGTATGCATGTCACTACTCTCTCCAGGAAGCCTGGAATTAGCCATTTTAATGCTCTACTTCCTGAGTGTATGAGAGGCTACCTCTACTTTAACTTTTTATTTTGTTTCTTCACTAAAAAAGGATGAAAACAGAAGAACAAATGGGAGAAAATAACCCAATAGACCTATGTTATATTCACTATTCTCCAACAGACCTTTAATGAATTAGAGCCAATAAGCAAAACAAGGATAGCTAAATGTACATTGGATTTTGTCAATTTTCCAATAGTCTTAAAAATTGTAGTTTTTATATATATATTTGAACAAACTTTACATAAGTACACATATCTATTGAAGATAAATTAGAAGAATAAACAAGACAAAACTACCTTTAATGACAAATATATTTCCCATTAACTGAAGGGATCTTGAAGCTTAAGAATTTGAAAAGAGTAAGTACTATTGAGAATTCTGAACAACATTAACATCCCATCACTTTGAAAAACTGTTTAAAGAGTTAAATCAACTGACAGCTTAAATAACACATTCTATTTTGGATGGCAGTCTTTTCTTTCCTTCTTATTTTTTAAACATAGTTTGAAGGCTATGCTCCTCATATTTTAAGACATTTATTTTGTATTATTATAATATTAATATACTGTACATTTTTAACACCTCAGTATGCTATTCCTGATTTGTGATATAGATTTCTTGATGCAAGAGTATAATTATAACTAATTTCCAAAAAACATGACAGAGATTTTGATGGACAAACATTTTTTAATATAAATTTTAATTTTTATTTTACTATAAGTTCTGGGAAGCATGTGCAGGACATGCAGGTTTGTTACATAGGTATACATGTGCCATGGTGCTTTGCTGCACCCATCAACCCGTAATCTAGGTTTTCAGCCCCACATGCATTAGGTATTTGGACAAACATTTTTACCAAGCTACTATACTTTAAAATTTGCATAATTTGTACTACTAAAAATAAATGTTTTAAAAAGATTATCCAACTATCTAATGTTTAATGTGTTATACCATTGATAAAAATCAGATCATCTGAGTTAATTTCTATGATGATTCTTCAAGTATGTATTCATTTCATATTATTTATTAAGCTCCTCCTAGGCCCCATGCTAGTTTTCTTTGTTTTTCTTTTCTTTTTTTTTTTTTATTATACTTTAATTTCTAGGGTACATGTGCACGACATGCAGATTTGTTACATATGTATACATGTGCCATGTTGGAGTGCCATACACATTAACTAGTCATTTACAATAGGTATATCTCCTAATGCTATCTCTCCCTGCTCCCCCCACCCCACAACAGGCCCCAGTGTGTGATGTTCCCCATCCTGTGTCCGAGTGTTCTCATTGGTCAATTCCCACCTATGAGTGAGAACATGTGGTGTTTGGTTTTCTGTCCTTGTGATAGTTTGCTGAGAATGATGGTTTCCAGCTTCATCCATGTCCCTATAAAGGACATGAACTCATCCTTTTTTATGGCTGTATAGTGTTCCATGGTGTATATGTACCATATTTTCTTAATCCAGTCTATTGTTGATGGACATTTGGGTTGGTTCCAGGTCTTTGCTATTGTGAATAGTGCCGTAATAAACATATGTATGCATGTGACTTTATAGCAGCATGATTTATAATCCTTTGGGTGTATATCCAGTAATGGGATCACTGGCTCAAATGGTATTTCTAGTTCCAGATCCTTGAGGAATCGCCACACTGCCTTCCACAATGGTTGAACTAGTTTACAGTCCCACCAACAGTGCAAAAGTGTTTCTATTTCTCCACACCCTCTCCAGCACCTGTTGTTTCCTGACTTTTTAATGATCACCATT
The DNA here is from genome assembly GCF_000001405.40 of Homo sapiens. Taxonomy (NCBI): domain Eukaryota; kingdom Metazoa; phylum Chordata; class Mammalia; order Primates; family Hominidae; genus Homo; species Homo sapiens. The sequence continues at coordinate 91,175,515 of NC_000004.12, forward strand.
CTAACTGGTGTGAGATGGTATCTCATTGTGGTTTTGATTTGCATTTCTCTGATGGGCAGTGATGATGAGCATTTTTTCATGTGTCTGTTGGCTGCATAAATGTCTTCTTTTGAGAAGTGTCTGTTCATATCCTTTGCCTGCTTTTTGATGGCGTTGTTTCATTTTTTTCTTGTAAATTTGCTTAAGTTCTTTGTAGATTCTGGATATTAGCCCTTTGTCAGATGGGTAGATGGTAAAAATTTTCTCCCATTCTGTAGGTTGCCTATTCACTCTGATGGTGGTTTCTTTTGCTGTGCAGAAGCTCTTTAGTTTAATTAGATCCCATTTGTCAATTTTGGCTTTTGTTGCCATTGCTTTTGGTGTTTTAGTCATGAAGTTCTTGCCCATGCCTATGTCCTGAATGTTATTGCCTAGGTTTTACTTCTGGGGTTTTTATGGCTTAGGTCTAACATTTAATCTTTAATCCATCTTGAATTAATTTTTGTTTAAGGTGTAAGGAAGGGATCCAGTTTCAGCTTTCTACATATGGCTAGCCAGTTTTCCCAGCACCATTTGTTTAGATAGGGAATCCTTTCCCCATTTCTGATTTTTGACAGGTTTGTCACAGATCAGATGGTTGTAGATGTGTGGTATTACTTATGAGGGCTCTGTTCTGTTCCATTGGTCTATATCTCTGTTTTGGTACCAGTACCTGCTGTTTTGGTTACTGTAGTCTTGCAGTACAGTTTGAAGTCAGGTAGCGTGATGCCTCCAGCTTTGTTCTTTTGGCTTAGGATTTTCTTGGCAATGTGGTCTCTTTTTTGGTTCCATATGTACTTTGAAGTATTTTTTTCCAATTCTGTGAAGAAAGTCATTGGTAGCTTGATGGAGATGGCATTTAATCTATAAATTACCTTGGGCAGTGTGGCCATTTTCACGATATTGATTCTTCCTATCCATAATTATGTAACATTCTTCCATTTGTTTGTGTCCTCTTTAATTTCATTGAGCAGTGGTTTGTAATTTGAAGAGGTCCTTCACATCCCTTGTAAGTTGGATTCCTAGGTATTTTATTCTCTTTGAAGCAATTGTGAAAGGGAGTTCACTCATGATTTGGCTCTCTGTTTGTCTGTTATTGGTGTATAAGAATGCTTGTGATTTTTGCACATTGATTTTGTATCCTGAGACTTTGCTGAAGTTGCTTATCAGCTTAAGGAGATTTTGGGCTGAGACAATGGGATTTTCTAAATATACAATCATATCATCTGCAAACAGGGACAATTTGACTTCCTCTTTTCCTAATTGAATACCCTTTATTTCTTTCTCCTGCCTGATTGCCCTGGCCAGAACTTCCAACACTATGTTGAATAGAAGTGGTGAGAGAGGGCATCCCGGTCTTGTGCCAGTTTTCAAAGGGAATCTTTCCAGTTTTTGCCTATTTAGTATGATATTGGCTGTGGGTTTGTCATAAATAGCTCTTATTATTTTGAGATACGTCCCATCAATACTAGTTTATTGAGAGTTTTTAGCATGAAGGGCTGTTGAATTTTGTCGAAGGCCTTTTCTGCATCTATTGAGATAATCATGTGGTTTTTGTCTTCGGTTCTGTTTATATGATGGATTATGTTTATTGATTTGCATATGTTGAACCAGCCTTGCATCCCAGGGATGAAGCCAACTTGATCATGGTGGATAAGCTTTTTGATGTGCTGCTGGATTCGGTTTGCCAGTATTTTATTGAGGAATTTTGCATTGATGTTCATCAGGGATATTGGTCTAAAATTCTCTTTTTCTGCTGTGTCTCTGCCAGGCTTTGGTATCAGGATGATGCTGGCCTCATAAAATGAGTAATGGAGGATTCCCTCTTTTTCTGTTCATTGGAATAGTTTCAGAAGGAATGGCACAAGCTCCTCTTTGTACGTCTGGTAGAATTTGGCTGTGAATCCATCTGGTCCTGGACTTTTTTTGGTTGGTAGGCTACCAATTGTTGCCTCAATTTCAGAGCCTGTTATTGGTCTATTCAGGGATTCAACTTCTTCCTGGTTTAGTCTTGGGAGGGTGTATGTGTCCAGGAATTTTTCCATTTCTTTTAGATTTTCTAGTTTATTTACGTAGAGGTGTTTCTAGTATTCTCTGATAGTAGTTTGTATTTCTGTCAGATCAGTGGTGATATCCCCTTTAACATTTTTAATACATCTATTTGATTCTTCTCTCTTTTCTTCTTTATTAGTCTTAGCAGTCTGTCGATTTTGTTGATCTTTTCAAAAAACAATCTCCTGGATTCATTGATTTTTTGAAGTGTTTCTTGCATCTCTATCTCCTTCAGTTCTGCTCTGATGTTATTTCTTGCCTTCTCCTAGCTTTTGAAGGTGTTTGCTCTTGCTTCTCTAGTTCTTTAATTGTGATGTTAGGGTGTCAATTTTAGATCTTTCCTGCCTTCTGTTGTGGGCATTTAGTGCTATAAATTTCCCTCTACATACCGCTTTAAATGTGTCCCAGAGATTCTGGTATGTTGTGTCTTTGTTCTCATTGGTTTCAAAGAACATCTTTATATCTGCCTTCCTTTTGTTATGTACCCAGTAGTCATTCAGGAGCAGGTTGTTCAGTTTCCATGTAGTTGAGCGGTTTTGAGTGAGTTTCTTAATCTTGAGTTCTAGTTTGTTTGCCCTGTGGTCTCAGACACAATTTGTTATAATTTCTGTTATTTTACATTTGCTGAGGAGTGCTTTACCTCCAACTATGTGGTCGGTTTTGGAATAGGTGTGGTGTGGTGCTGAGAAGAATGTAGATTCTGTTGATTTGGGGTGGAGAGTTCTGTAGATGTCTATTAGGTCTGCTTGGTGCAGAGCTGAGTTCAATTCCTGGATATCCTTGTTAACATTCTGTCTCGTTGATCTGTCTAATGTTGACAGTGGGGTAAAGTCTCCCATTATTATTGTGTGAGAGTCTAAGTCTCTTTGTAGGTCACTAAGGACTTGCTTTATGAATCTGGGTGCTCCTGTATTGGGTGCATATATATTTAGGATAGTTAGCTCTTCTTGTTGAATTGATCCCTTTACCATTATGTAATGGCCTTCCTTCTCTTTTGATCTTTGTTGGTTTAAAGTCTGTTGTATCAGAGACTAGGATTGCAAACCCTACCTTTTTTTATTTTCCATTTGCTTGGTTGATCTTCCTCCATCCCTTTATTTTGAGCCTATGTGTGTCTCTGCATGTGAGATGGGTCTCCTGTATACAGCTCACTGATGGGTCTTGACTCTTTATCTAATTTGCCAGTCTGTTTCTTTTAATGAGGGCATTTAGTCCATTTAAGGTTAATATTGTTATGTGTGAATTTGATCCTGTCATTATGATGTTAGCTGGATATTTTGCTCATTATTTGATGCAGTTTCTTCCTTGCATTGATGGTTTTTACAATTTGTCATGTTTTTGCAGTGGCTGGTACCAGTTGTTCCTTTCCATTTTTAGTGCTTCCTTAAGGAGCTCTTGCAAGGCAGGCCTGGTGGTGACAAAATCTCTCAGCATTTGCTTGTCTGTAAAGAATTTTATTTCTCCTTCTTTTATGAAGCTTAGTTTGGCTGGACATGAAATTCTGGGCTGAAAATTCTTTTCTTTATGAATGGTGAATATTGGCCCCCACTCTCTTCTGGCTTTATAGAGTTTCTGCCAAGAGATACACTGTTGGTCTGATTGGCTTCCCTTTGTGGGTAACCCAACCTTTCTGTCTGGCTGCCCTTAAAATTTTTTCCTTCATTTCAACTTTGGTGAATCTGACAGTTATGTGTCTTGGGGTTACTCTTCTTGAGGAGTATCTTTGTGGCATTCTCTGCATTTCCTGAATTTGAATGTTGGCCTACCTTGCTAGGTTGGGGAAGTTCTCATGGATAATATCCTGAAGAGTGTTTTCCAACTTGGTTCCATTCTCCCCGCCACTTTCAGGTACACCAGTCAGACATAAGTTTGGTCTTTTCACATAGTCCCATATTTCTTGGAGGCTTTGTTCATTTCTTTTTACTGTTTTTTCTCTAAACTTCTCCTCTCGCTTCATTTCATTCATTTGGTCTTCGTTCATTGATACACTTTCTTCCACTTGATCGAATCAGCTACTGAAGCTTGTGCATGCATCAGGTAATTCTCATGCCATGGCTTTCAGCTCCACGAGGTCATTTAATGTCTTCTGTATGCTTTTTATTCTAGTTAGCCATTCATCTAATCTTTTTCAAGGTTTTTAGCTTCTTTGCGATGGGTTTGAACATCCTCCTTTAGCACGGAGAAGTTTGTTATTACAGATTGTCTGAAGCCTTCTTCTCTGAACTCGTCAAAGTCATTCTCTGTCTAGCCTTGTTCCATTGCTGGCGAGGAGCTACATTCCTTTGGAGGAGAAGAGGCGCTCTGATTTTTAGAATTTTCAGCTTTTCTGCTCTGGTTTCTCCTCATCTTTTTGGTTTTATCTACCTTTGGTGTTTGATGATGGTGATGTACAGATGGGGTTTTGGTGTGGATGTCCTTTCTGTTTATTAGTTTTCCTTCTAATAGTCAGGATCCCCAGCTGCAGGTCTATTGGAGTTTGCTGGAGGTCCACTCTAGACCCTCTTTGCCTGGGTATCACCAGTGGAGCCTGCAGAACAGCGAATATTGCAGAACAGCAGTTGTTGCTGCCTCATCCTTCCTCTGAAAGCTTCGTCTCAGAGGGGCACCCGGCTGTATGAGGTGTCAGTCAGCTGCTACTGGGAGTTGTCTCCCAGTTAGGCTACTCAGGGGTCAGGGACTGACTTGAGGAGGCAATCTGTCCATTCTCAGATTTCAGACTCTGTGCTAGGAGAACCACTACTCTCTTCAAAGCTGTCAGACAGGGACGTTGAAGTCTGCAGAAGTTTCTGCTGCCTTTTGTTCAGTTATGTCCTGCCCCCAGAGGTGGAGTCTACAGAGGCAGGCAGGCCTTCTTGAGCTGTGGTGGGCTCCACCTAGTTCGAGCTTCCTTGCCACTTTGTCTACCTACTCAAGCCTCAGCAATGGCGGACGCCCCTTCCCCAGCCTGGCTGCTGCCTTGCAGTTTGACCTCAGACTGCTGTGCTAGTAGTGAGTGAGGCTCTGTGGGCTTGGGACCATCTGAGCCAGGCACAGGATTTAATCTCCTGGTGTGCCATTTGCTAAGACCATTGGAAAAGTGCAGTATTAGGGTGTTAGTGTGCTGAGAGGAGCTCAGTCAGGGAGACCCTAACTCAGCGGCACTAGAGGAATTAAAGACACACACACAGAAATATAGAGGTGTGAAATGGGAAATCAGGGGTCTCACAACCTTCAGAGCTGAGAGCCCCTAACAGGGATTTACCCACATATTTATTAACAGCAAACCAGTCATTAGCATTGTTTCTATAGATATTAAATTAACTGAAAGTATCCCTTAAGGGAAACAAGAGATGGGCCAAATTAAAGCAATAGATTGGGCTAGTTAACTGCAGCAGGAGCATGTCCTTAAGGCACAGATCACTCATGCAATTGTTTGTGGCTTAAGAATGACTTTAAGTGGTTTTCCGCCCTGGGAGGGCCAGATGTTCATTGCCCTCATTCCCATAAACCCACAGTCTTCCAGCATGGGCATTAGGGCCATTATGAACATGTTACAGTGCTGCAGAGATTTTGTTTATGGTCAGTTTTGGGGCCAGTTTATGGCCAGATTTTGGGGGGCCTGCTCCCACCATGTCCCCCTTCTTTGATTTGCAAATTGATAAATGCAAAGGCAACTTTGTCACAGTGAGCTACTTCTCACAGGAGTCAGGATCCACATCTGCAGACTACCCAAAGACAATACAGATTAAAAGCACAATCATCATTGAAATCACAGAACTTCCAGGTGTTTTTATCTATTTTAATGGGTTACTAGCTGCTAATCTGTCTGTAACTCCTTCAAGCACTCCAGTTCCTGGCATTAAGGTCAGGTGTGCCTGGGATGCTTTAAATATTTGTTCTTTTAATTTTAAATCCTTATGTCAAGCTCCTAGAGTAGGCCATATCATTTGAGGTTGAGGTGCCACTATACCACAGTGGTTCCAGATAATAGGAACTTTTGCCATACTTCTCATCATTTCTACCATCTGACCATTTTTCTCAGATCATCTGAACATAGTGTGGCCATGGCACGCAGACTGAGAGGTGCAAGTCAAGCTAAACATCCCCTTAGGGGACCAATTAATAATGATTCCATAGGAATTGTTGTGCAGCACCTCTGTCTGTTCTGCAATGCGATCTTCCTAAACAAGTACGTTCATTTTTTCTAACTGGGTCCAAGCCTGTTTACAAATAGGTTTTTGAGGGCGATATGCCTCAATTATAGGAGCAGATTTATTATGGTAAATACTGAGATCAGAAAGCATGTGTAACTGTGTCATAGAGTGATTGCATCCAGGCATTATTGCCAGCCAAGATTGATCAATATGCCCGATAAGTATAATTGTTCTCTGTGTCAGTCCTTATTGAAGGAATACTCATGGCAGTGGTGATAACCGCTGTCATAGCTACCATTAAATTATTCATTGTGACTGGTTGTCCCACTTTTGTTAGGTTGTCTTTCACCATCTGTGACAGCTTCTTGATCTGTCCCCAGATGGGTGGCTGTGTTCGATGGGTGTTGCTCATGACAGTTGGGGTCCTCCTCAGTGTCAGTCTCAACATGCTGCAACCGAAGGGTCCTTGGGATCCTTCTGGAATCTCTTCCTCAGCATCTGGCTCATGATAAGTTTTCAGGTGTCTTGATGGTATCCAAATTGGCTGTTGATTTTGGCCTGGAGAAATACAAGCATAATCTCTACCCCAAGTTATTATTTTACCTATTTCCCAAATTTTGTTAACGGATCTCTCCACCAAATCAGTTGTTCTGCTTCTGTCTTTGCAGTTGGTTTCTGTACGTGCTGTACAGCTGCTGATAACATCTGGCCTTTGGGCAGGCTCAAAAAATTTAAAGTTAATAATGCTAGATTCAGTTGCATCTGCGGTCTTCCATATTTTATCTCCCCCTTTCTGCTTTTGCAACTGCTGTTTTAGGGAGAGATTCATTCTTTCCTCTGTGGCTTGTCCTTGAGAATTGTATGGGATACCAGTAATGTGTTTAATATTCCACATAGAGAAAAATATAGCTAGAGCTTGGCTATTATAGCCTGGGGCATTATCTGTTTTAATAGAAGCTGGAATGCCCATCACCACAAAACTGCAAAAGATGACACTTAACACAGGCGGAAGACTCTCCTATTTGATGTGTAGCCCAAAGTGAGAAAAGGTGTCCACACATTACATGTACATAAACTAGTCTCCCAAATGAGGGAACATGTGTGACATCCATTTGCCAAAGTGTGTTAGGTTCCAGTCCTCGAGGATTAACTCCTCCTGTAAAAGATGAGGCATGTACCATTTGGTAAGTTGGGCATCCCTGTATAATAGCTTTAGCTTCTTTCCAGGTAATGCTGTATCTGTGTTTGAGACCAGAGGCATTAACATGGGTTAAATTGTGAAAGTGTCTAGCATTAGATATTGCATTAGCAACTAGGTGGTCAGCCTTTTGAATCCCTTTAGTCAAAGGTCCTGGAAGAGATGTATGAGCCCTAATGTGAGTGATGTAAAATGGGTGCATTCTACTTCTAACTGCTGTTTGCAATTCGGTAAATAAAGTCATCAGTTGTTCATCTGTATGTAATAGTAACTGAGCATTTTCAATTAACTGTGTGGGATGAACCACATATGAAGAATCAGAAATCACATTAATAGGCATAGCAAAAGAAGTCAATATCTCAATTACAGCTACAAGCTCCGTTTTTGAGCTGAAGGATAGGACGTCTGGAAAACTTTACTTTTTGAGCCAGAATAAGAAGCTTTACCATTACTAGACCTATCTGTAAAAAACATTTTCAGCACCTTCAATTGGTTTAAATTTAGTTATTTTAGGGAGAATCCAATTAGTTAATTTCAAAAACTGAAACAGCTTCGTTTTAGGAAAATTATCAGCAATACCCACAAAGCTTTATAAAAGCTTTCTGTATTTATGCCTTCGTGAGAGGGACAATAATTTTTCCAGGATCATATCCATGTAATTTAACAATCCGAGTTCTCCCAATCCCTATCATAGTAGCGATTTGATATAAATAAGGAGTTAGAGTCCGTGAATTAGTATGTGGAAGAAAAAGCTACTCTACTAAGTCCTGTTCTTGGACAATAACACCAGTAGGTGAATGCTGAGTTGAAAAAATTAGCAAATCTGGAGTCTGCTCTGGATCTATTCTATTTATTTGAGGCTTATGGACTTGCTTTTCAATTGGTTGTAACTTGACCTCAGCCTCCTTTGTTAATTGCCGAGGGCTAGTAAGGCTAGGATTTCCTCTAAGGATAGAAAGCAGATTACTCATGGCATAGGCAGGAATGCCTAGAGCAGGTCATATCCAATTAATGTCCCCTACTAATTTTTGAAAGTCATTTAATGTTTTTAATTGATCCCTACGTATGGTTACTTTCTGTGGCACAATGGTAGTGTCATTTACTAAGGTCCCCAAGTAGGAGTAAGGAGTGCAGCAGTATGAATTTTGTCAGGAGCTATAATTAAACCAGCACAAGAAATCGAATTTTGCAAGTGATCATAACATTGGAGTAATATTTCTTGAGTGGGGCAGCACAAAATATATCATCCATATAGTGAATAATGTAACACTGTGAAAATTTTTTAGGAGTAGGTTCAATTGCTTGGCCCACATACGACTGGCAAATTGTGGGACTGTTTAACATGCCCTGTGGCAACACTTTCCAATGATAACACTTAGCAGGCTGCAGGTTGTTTACTGCAGGAATTGTAAATGCAAACCATTCACAGTCTTGCTCAGCTAAAGGGGTAGTAAAGAAACAGTCTTTTAAATCTATGACTATTAAAGGCCAATTTTTTGGAATTATAGCAGGAGAAGGCAATCCTGGCTTTAATGCTCCCATAGGTTGTATAACTGAATTGATAGCTCTTAAATCAGTTAGCATTCTCCATTTACTTGATTTTTCTTAGGAAAACTGGAGAATTCCAAGGGAAAATGTTGGAGCTATGTGCCCATTTTCTAATTTTTCAGTAACTAATTTCTCTAAAGCCTCCAGTTTCTCTTTACTTAGCAGCCATTGTTCTATCCAAATTGGCTTATCTGTTAACCATTTTAAAGGTATAGGTTCTGGAGGCTTAACAATGGCCGCCATCAAAAATTATTTCCTAATCTTTGGCAGGAACTTTGTTTTTCCCCTTGACTTGGTTTTTTCAAATCTTGCAAATTTTTTTCTAGTTCCATACCAGGGACATACCTCATTTCATGCATTGTATGTTGATTTTTAGGGCTATATAATTGTTCTGGGATTAGAACTTGTGCTCCTCATTGTTGTAATAAATCTCTTCCCCATAAATTTATAGGTACAGAAGTTATAATTGGTTGAATAGTACCAGGTTGTCCATCGGGCCCTTCACAATGCAAAATATAACTTCTTTGATATACTTCAGGGCCTTTACCAACTCCAACTATGTTAAATTGAGCAGGTTGAATTGTCCATGTGGACAGCCAGTGCTGTAGAGAAATGATTGAAATGTCCACTCCTGTATCTACCAAACCTCTAAATTTCTTTCCCTGAATAGTTATTGCACAGGTAGGGTGTTTATCAGTAATTTGATTTACCCAATAAGCTGCTTTGCCTTGTTTATTTGTGCTTCCAAATCCTCCTGTGTGTTTAATTTCACTTTTTCCCATTTCCACATATGGCACAATTAGGAGCTGTGCCATGTGCTCTCCTGGCTCTGCTTTCCAGGGAACAGAAGTAGATATAACGATTTGAATTTCCCCATTATAATCTGAATCAATGACTCCTGTATGTATTTGTACACTTTTTAAACTTAAACTAGACCTTCCTAAAAGTAATCCTATTGTCCCTGCTGGCAAGGGTCCTCCACAGACTCCTGTTAGGGACCTTTTGTGGGGGTTCCCCAGGCAGAAGGCTCACAGCTTTTGTGCAGCATAAATCTACTGCAGTGCTACCGGCTGTGGCGGGAGACAGACATTGTATGGGGATGAGGGAATGGCCTGAGCTGGAAATGCCCAGGTTTAGAATGGGGCCCAGGACAGGCCCCTCATGGCATTTCCCAAAATCAGGTTCCCTTCTTTATCAAACTTAGGGTGACATTGATTAGCCCAATGTTTTCCTTTTCTACATTTTGGACATATTTCAGGATCAGCAGTTTTCTTTTTTCCCCTATCTGGCGGCCTGACTCTCTGAATTTTTCTACATTCCTTTTTAGTATGACCATGCTTCCCACAGTTAAAACAAGCTCCAGGAAATGGAGTATTTCCTTTATCCACTCTCAGTCTTGCCATTGCCTGTACTAGCCAAGTAGCTTTATGCAGATTACCTCTGATACCATCACAGGCCTTGATATAATAAACTAAATGTGCTTTCCTGAATTTAAAAGCAATAGGCTCAAATGTAGCCATAATATTTCCCTGTTGATCTGGGGGGTGTATTCTAACATGGAACTGCCAAGCCTCTAAATCACCCTCTCGTCTAGCTTGCTGAATTCCTGCCTGAATAGAACTAAGAGCGATCGCTCGAGGCGCTGCTTGAACAGTCACTGGGGCAACTACTTTTCACCCAGTGTCCTCCAGAAAAGAAAGATCTGGAGGGTCTTTTTCTTCAAAATAATAAGGAGGGGTTACAGAAGGGTAGGGATGAACCTCTCCTTCCTTTGCTGCTTTAGCTGGTAAATAAACATGCTCTGTAACCTCTTCTGTTACTTCACTATACTCTCCTTCCTCCTCCTCATCAGTGTGAAAAAGTTCCATGGTAGAATGGACCAGACCCCACACTTGTCCCATGATTAACCTGATGCTTCCGAGCTCCCCTTCTTACTCACCACAGGGATTGCTTTAAGAGTACTTGGGTGTCCTCCAGCTTAGTTTTCCATTCCAACCATCGCTCCGGCAATCCTTCGACCTGGATTCGAGCCCCCGTGATGGACGCCACTTGCTGAGACCAGCTCAGTCAGGGAGACCCTAACTCAGCGGCGCTAGAGGAATTAAAGACACACACACAGAAATATAGAGGTGCGCAGTGGGAAATCAGGGGTCTCACAACCTTCAGAGCTGAGAGCCCCAAACAGAGATTTACCCACATATTTATTAACAACAAACCAGTCATTAGCATTGTTTCTATAGATATTAAATTAACTAAAAGTATCCCTTATGGGAAATGAAGGGATGGGCTGAATTAAAGGAATAGGTTGGGCTAGTTAACTGCAGCAGGTGCATCTCCTTAAGGCACAGATTGCTCATGCTATTGTTTGTGGCTTAAGAATGCCTTTAAGCAGTTTTCTGCCCTGGGAGGGCCAGGTGTTCCTTGCCCTCATTCCTGTAAACCCACAATCTTCCAGCATGGGCATTAGGGCCATTATGAACATGTTACAGTGCTGCAGAGATTTTGTTTATGGCCAGTTTTGGAGCTAGTTTATGGCCAGATTTTGGGGGGCCTGCTCCCAACAGGAGTGTCCTGATTTTCCAGGTAGCATCTGTCACAGCTTCCCTTGGCTAGGAAAGGGAATTCTCTGACCCCTTGTGCTTCCCAGGTGAGGTGATGCCCCACCTTGCTTTGGCTCACACTCTGTGGGCTGCACCCACTGTCTGACAAGCCCCAGTGAAATGAAACCCGTACCTCAGTTGGAAATGCAGAAATCACCCACTTCTGCGTTGCTCACACTGGAAGCTGTAGACTGGAGCTGTTCCTATTCGGCCATCTTGGCACCTCTCTCTGCTAGTTTTCTTACTGAATACATATCTGTCCATTTCTTTTTACCTGGGTAGTATTAATCATAGGATTTTAAGTCTGGAAGAGATTTTCAAAATTGCCGTCCAAATAAAATTTCTCATTTTTTAAATAAACATAAGTAAGTAAATAAAAACAAAGTATGAAATAACTTAAGATGTTTCCCCAGAGGGTTGTTTGGTAATACAAACTCTGTGAAATAAAAGTAAATTATGAATGTAGAAATCAATAAATTTGTTTTTTTTTTAATTTTTTATTTTTGAGACGGAGTTTTGCTCTTATCGCCCATGCTGGAGTGCAGTGATGCGATCTCGGCTCACTGCAACCTCTGCCTCTTGGGTTCAAGAGATTCTCCTTCCTCAGCCTCATGAGAAGCTGGTGTTACAAGCGTGCTGCTACCATGACCGGCTAATTTTTGTGTTTTTAGTAGAGCTGTGGTTTCACCACATTGGCCAGGCTGGTCTCAAACTCCTGACCTCAAGTGATGCACCCGCCTTGGCCTCCCAAAGTGCTGGGATTACAGGCGTGAGTCACCGTGCCCAGCTGAAATTTGGTTATTTTTATAAAATTAAAATGAAATTTATCCAAGTAGGCAAAGGAAGGAAAATTTTATGTAATAGATGTTTTGAATCATGAGAAGTTTTTTTTTGTTAAATGTTGCTATGATAGTAACCTTATGATTTCCCAATGCAGAATTATCTTAGTATATTTACAGCAGTTCCAGAGTCCAAGATTAAAAGAAAATTGTTTAGCTAAGCTTTAAAAAGGAACAATTATAAATAATATTTATAAAAATTTTATTAAAAATATCTACCACGATTCTTCATCTGTAGCTACCAGCTAGGGTAAACTTTGCATAAAACTTATCACTTGTCTCCTATTTCAAGTGCTTTGTAAAACTTGAAAATGTTCTGTTTTAATACTTCAATTATAGGACTTACCAATGTCTATTCTCTTCTCAGTTTTCAGGAAACATTGTCTATAACAATACTATATGAGGTTCATAGTAGTAGTCATTTTTCAGTATTGATGTTACGGCGTTTTAATTTTCTTGGGCAATTGTATCCTAAATTTATTTTAAACTAAGTTATTCAAAACTTCTGCTACTGTTATTATTTTATTTTGCGAAATTTTTCAAAGCTGTAAGATCTTGTTTGGAAGCACTGAGGGCAAATATGATAAAGTTGACCTCTTACAATTATTACACATTTTCAGGAATAGCTAGTGCTCAGTAAATTGTTATTATTGTGCTTTTCATAATTAGTGATAAATATTTTTTAATGCCATTTAGTGTACCCTGGAACTTAATGTAGAATAGCAGCAGGTCTCAGTCATGTTCGCTGGTATGTCCTAGGTCATTAGCTGATGTTGAGTAGGTATTCTGGAAATACTCTAAAAATATTACTTAACCAAATGAATGATCTGACTACTTGTATGCTTGATACTTTTGTGATTCAAGCATTATACTCATACTGAGAAAATGTAGACATAGCAAAATGTTAACTGGGCTATATGCCTGTCAGAAAAATCATAATATACCCATAATTATTAAGATTGTGATAGTTAGTGCTAGCATACCTATTTATATGTCCTCCAGAAAGAAAGATCTGTTACTTAATCATGACAAAAAGAGTCTAGGAATTACCAGAGAAATAGAAAAAAAGAGTTATAAATAGAATTAATTCTAATCTGCTAGAATTCTAATATGTTAAAATTTCAATTTTCTAGGTCTCTGCAAACCTCCCGAACGGTATATATAATGATTTTAGACTTATAGGTAGGGTTTCTAGAGAGCCTAAATGTTAATGGATTTTTTTTTAAAGAAAGTAAACATTTTGGTAATTTGCAGGTAAAAGGTGGTTCCTAAAACTTACCATAGCCTTAGCTCAATATCAGGTCATTCATTACAATTTGTCTTCATCATCAAAAAATGTTTATGTTTATAACTGTTACCTTTTCTTTATTTGATTTAGGTAGAATCCAAGTATTCTAAGAGGTATTGTGCCCTGGATCTAAAAAATCAGGTTTAGAGTACATGAATGTACTTATTTTGATGCTGGTGTATTCATTCTTAATTAGGACAGGAGATGCTGAAAATTTACTTAGTGATAAAGCTAATAATTCTCCTCCTGTAGCATCTGGTCTCCAGTGGCCTGGAGTCATTGTCTAACCTGAATTTGGGAATAGTTGAGAAAGTTATTCTGTATGACCTCATTTGAATTAAAGTTGTTGGTGTAGGAAGTGTTTAAATTCAACTGAAAATTTTCTGAATATCCTGGTGTCCTTGGCCCAATATTTCTGTGAAACCAAATGAAATATCTGAGAACCATGGAGAAATACAATCTGGCTAGTACTGTTTTGTTTTTCTTTTTTCAACTTATAATTTGTTTCTTCCCAAAGGATTATATATATATTGTATATAAAGGCATATATATTACATATATAACCTTACCATTTATAGGTATATGGATTTTTTTAATGTATGGAAAACAAATTGAACATTTATTTGAATTTTAATTTTTGAATAATAATTTAACATTTGCATTTAATTGAGAGATTTGAGTTTATAAATTTAAATTATTTTGATTATTAAAACAGTGAGTATTTCTTATAGCAGCAGAGGAGTCTGCTGCAAGGATTTTACTCTTCTGTCCTATGAGCAAGTCACTGAGTTGCTAATGCAGTCAGTGCATGTTGCAGTACCTGTCTAGTCTTGTGGATTTCTCTTTGGCACCACTGTTGAAATCTGTAGCCCTGGCTATAGCCTTAATTTACTAGATGCCTGCACTCCATGATTTCCTTATCCTAATCCAAATCCTCTTCCTGCCCATTGGTTCATGTAGAACATGTTTCCCTCACCAGGATCTCTTAGATGACTAGGATGGACAAGCGGTACAATCTCAGGGAAACTTTCTCAGTTAGATACAAAACCAGATACATGTTATTTGGTTTTATCTCCAATTATTAGGTTTCTTTTTTAGAGTTTTAGTTACCCCAGAGAATCTAGCAGCATCTTATCCCTGCTCTAATGTCTTCCAATTCTCAGCAATCTCTTTCAAACCAAAGTGGCTTTTCCTCTTCCCATGTGGCAAAAGCTTACTTATCTTCTTATATATCATATCCTCTATCCTTTCTATACTGTGTCTTATAACAAAACTGCAAATGCAGACAATCTAAGCCTTGCTCTTGATATGTAAAGGAAATTTTTTGAACTTAAGAATTTTTTTTTCCACAAAGCCTGACTTTCAGGATGATGTATTTTAAGGACTTTAAAAAAGAATCAAATTTGGAGGAAGAATTCAGATTCAAAGCTAAGGAATGACCTCTCTGAGACTGTATGCATATGCCTTTCCTACAGAAATAAATGCCATTGTGTTAAAAGGTGAGAAAGTGTAGGTCAATGTGATTTACAGAGAATAAAAAGTACATTGTCTTACGGTTTCAAAATATTATTCCCCTGAATTGTCTATTAGTAGCTTATTTTCACAGCTTCCATTTCCTCTAAATGTCTGTTAATTTACTTATTATTTTATCCTTAAAAGGAATCTTGGAATTAGGTAAAACTTGGTTTGAACTTAACTTCATGGATATGTAGGAAGACTTTACTACCTCAGTTTTCTCACCTGTAAAATGTCAATAACACTGCCCACCTGGTTGTTATCAGGATTAAATGAGTTAATCAGAATAATGTCTGAAACATAATGGATGCTTTATAACATATGCTATTAACATTTTAATTTGGATAGTATGTAATGTCTAATACTTAATAGTATTGTTTGATGAATAAATGTAAAACTATAGGTAAATGCCAAGCATCATAGTTCATTTAGAAAGCTCTGTACAAAAGTTAATTACCCTTCTCTTGCTTTCCTTTCTTTTCAAAGCTAACTGCCTTACCTGTGCTCTGAGTAGCATAATTTCCTGATTATACATAGGCCCAGTGTCATTAACTATCTGCTATTTCTGTTGTATCTTCAATTTCTCCCTTTCCACTGACTGTTCTTATATTTAAACCTTCTCTGTTCTAAAGAAATTGTTGATTTCTGCATCAAGCTTTCTTCTTTCTGGGGCCAAACTGTTGGATGAATATTGAACATGTGTATACTTATAACTGCCCAACCTTCGAACCTGCTTATTAACTTTTCAGAATTACCTTACTTTATGAATTTTGATAAGTGATGCTCTATGTATTAGAGCATCTCCCATTTTCACTAGATAAGCTGAAAATGCCAGATACTCACTTTCCTAGCCTCCTTTATTACTAGGGTGGGGACACATGACCCAGTCTCCATCAATCTGATGTACATTTTCCAGAGACACAGTCGGTTCCAAGGCAGGTTCCACAGTTTCAGGGAAATTCAGGGGCAGCTGTGACAATAGTAATAACAGTGCTATCCCTTGTTCAGAGCTGGCTGGCTTGAAAGTGCTAACTTTATTATCTGGTGCTGAAATGTGATGGCAGTGTGTCTTTGTTGCATCCGTACCATGGTGTGCGTGGCCCTGAACTGGTTACCCAGTCTTTTCAATTCTGATAACTACTCAATCTTCTTTTAGTAAATTCCTTTTCTACTTCAATCAGCCAGAGTTGCTTTCCATTGCTTGCAGCCTAGAACCTTGGCTGAAATAAGAAAAAGTAGCCTATTTTCACTGCTTCATCTCCTCTCCTTCTGTTCTGCCTTTAACTTGGTGCCATCTAGGTTTCTTCTGCACTTGAAGCTGTTTTCTTCTACAGCAAATTGACTTAACTATACCAAATAAAAAAGCTTACTGCTAATCCTGCTGAGACCCTTTGTGACACAGGACATTGGTCATTCTTTCCTGTGAGACATTATCTTTCTCTCCTGAATCTTTTCCTACCTCTGACTACTGCCTTCCAGTTTTATGCCCCCACTTTTCCCCCCATGGACTTGCCTTTTAATTGTGGTTGTTTTCCTTGATTCTTCCTTTGGCTATTTTCTCACCATAATCTTACAATATTCCTTAAGAAAATTCCCCTACTTCCACATATTTAATTTCTTCAGATTTCCAACATCAAATCTCAAGCCATGTTTGTTTGTTTTTTAAGTTTGATACCATGCTCAGATTTCAAAGTCCTTGCAGGATAACTCTGTCGATTGAATGTACCCTTGAGACTTAGTATGTAAATTGAGCTTGTCCACCCTACCTGCTCCACCTAGGAAATTATCTATTTTACTTGATGTTATGTTCTCATTTACTGAGAGTTGTCAAATGCTCTCTTTCCTTTTTTGCCCACACATCTTATTAGTAACAAAACTTGTTTCTGTCTCTGAAATCTCCCATATCATTTCCTCTTTGCCCCTCTCCTTGGAAGAACCTTGATTTAGCCCTCATTATATTTGGATTGCTTCTGTTGACAAAGATTCTGTCTTCTTTTAATCCATTTATTTTCTTTCTAAAGCAAAGCTGTGCTGATTTTTTTTCCTAGTCAAAATTTTGGTTTTTACAAAATAAAATCCAGATTATTTATTTTTTAATTTCTAACCTTAATTTTTGTAATGTCTACAATAGACTCAGTGTCTCTGCTATATTGGTAAAATTTATATCCTAAAAATGATATTGCTATCTAGCCCTCATCTTTTGATCAAGCTGTTTTTCCTGACTGAAATGTCATTTCCCTCATGTCAACCTCCCACAGCCTTTACATTTCCAAAAGCTTAGCTAACTTCCTCCTTTGTCTACGATCCTTCCTCAAACTATACATGCAAAACTCCCATTTTCTTTCCCTGTACTGACATGTGTTTTGTAATGAATATTTGTGTCTTTTTTTTCAACCCTACTGCATTTTATCCTTAGCTCATCTATAATACCTAAAACAGAGCCTTTTACCTCAGTGTTGCTTGGTTATTTGAATCTAAGTAAGTTTCTGTCCAGAGAGGCATATGCCTCTTTTCCTTGCTGCCCTATCTTTGCAAAAAGTTATAATCCACAGCAAAAGTTTCCCACAATGATTTGGTTCCATGGTAACTAAATTCTCCTTAAAATGTTGGAAGTAGGACCTATGTTGTATATCACTTATTCACAGGAAATTAAAATTAACTTTGTTCCTGTTCATAATATTGTGAACATCATAAAGGCTGGATGAAAAGGGAAAATGAAGAGTTCCACTTCCCAGTATTGAAAGAACCCTGGATTAGTCCTAGCTGTGCACTCTGTTATAATCTTAGATAAATTACGTAATCTCCTCATACTAAATATATTTATAATAATAATGGGGGCATATTTATCAGCATTACTGTAAAGTACAAAAATACTAAAAGCAAAAGCACTATGAAAGCTACACAAATATTACATGAATATAAAATACAACACTTATTGTGGTTATTATTGTTCGATCTTGTCATTTCCACCAGTCAAAGCTTGTAAAGATTCTTCTAAGTCCCTATTTTAAACTCTATGTCATTCTTTTCATGTCCTGACTCTTATATGGACACAATGAATGCCCATTGCTTATATGTCTTTACTTCTAATTCAAATCTTCCTGTTTGTTTTATTGATTTTTTTTTTCAAATGCTATGGCCTGATGTCCCTTATGATTGCTATGTTTTGGGTAAGAGGGGTTTTAAAATTGTGTTTTAGTTTGAGACAATATTTCGTTGACTCAACAAGAACCCACATATATGATTCCTATTCTTATTTATTTATTTATATTTATTGTTTTTGAGACGTAGTCTCACTCTGTTGCCCAGGCTGGAGTACAGTGGCATGATCTCAGCTCACTGCAACCCCTGTCTCCCGAATCCAAGTGATTCTCCTGCCTCAGCCTCCCAAGTAGCTGGGATTGCAGGCATGCACCACCACACCGAGCTAATTTTTGTATTTTTAGTAGAGACGGAGTTTCACCACATGGCTCAGGCTTGTCTCGAACTCCCGACCTCAGGTGATCTGCCTGCCTTGGCCTCCTAGAGTGCATGAGCCACTGCACCTGGACCCTATTCTTATTTTAAAGTAATGTTGACTCTAAATCAATTTATACAGTACATATTAAAATTAACATCATGAAAGGTTTTATTCTAGGCACTGTAGATGACAGTCCTTATAAAATTAAGGATAAGCCAAAATATAATTCTAGTTCAAAGGAGAATTTAGTAGATGCCAATAAGAAGTAAAAATAGATACAATAATGGTTCAGAGTAGAAGAATTTCAAATCTGAGTTAATAATAACATTCATAAAAGTTTTCATATGAAAGAGGTGGCATTTGGGATGGGAAAATTGAGAAAAAAAATTATTGATTGTCATAGCATTGCTCCACAGTCAATCATGTCACATAAATGTGAAACAGAAATAAATTTCACCAACATTCCAAGTTTCCTTTGTTTCATTATACCAAATGCACATGGTAGAGAACACACACACACACACACACAAATGCACGCAGAAAGAGAGAGGTTGTTTGCAAATGGACTACAGTTTCATGGTGAAAAGTAATTTGTGATGCATCATATTATGAGGTTTCATGATATTTGTCAGGATAAGGTCAAATGTGCAATCCACACTGTAAAAAGCATAGCTTACTTCTATTTATGTAATTAATTGGAGTCTTTAACAGAGGAAAATCTTTAAGTGTTTTTGTTGCCTTAAAAAATAGCTCACATGCCCTATTTACAAAAAGTAATTGGGTTATCTGAGAACTTACAACACTTGAGTATCATTATATGAAGGAAGAAAGTGATCCTGAAGAAGCTATATTTATTTTCTTTATTATAAAACTTGAACTATTTTAAAATAAATTGTTAGCTGTTGAAGTCTGTGTTTTTGAGCATCAGTAAATGGCCAGTAGTAATAATGATTTTCACGAATAGAAATAGGTTGTCCATGCTGAGAGCTAGTAACACTTCACTTTGATGCAAATGTTTAAGTGATTCAAAACATTGAAATGCCAATTAGTAAAAATGGAGTTCAAATTTTTACAAAATGTGTGCATGGGGAGGCAGCTATCATTGGATGTGCTCTGCCGAAACTTGTAGTCAACATTAAAATGTTTTAAAAACATTTGAGAGCTCCTGTTGGTAAATTCTAATTTGTGTATAAGTCTAATGTATAAAGTATTGGTAATTTAGAAACCACAATGCTGGATTAAGAGACCTGTTAGGAGACGGGAGGTAAGCAAACTTTGCTAACTTAATGGGAAATTTTGTGGAATAGTGTTATGACATTACAGAACCTTCCTCAGGGTCTACTTGAATCATACCAATATAATTCGCAATTAACTGATGGAAGGAATTGGTTTCATGAGACGCTGTATTCTGAAATCAGAAGAGGCTTAACCTTCTTGAAACTGCTTTTATTTGCCATGTGCCCTGCTACTCAAGATTTTCATAATGCTTCAATTTTAGTTATTCTTATTAGTTTAAAAAAACAAAACTACTTTTAATCTTCATACTTAATATAAGAAAAATATTCAAAGATTGTCTTTCTCATATCTATCTCTCACATCATTCTGCGTGGATTACTGAGGGCCACACGATCATGCAGTCTTCAGACGCCTTTGTTGCTCCACTGCAGACTTTTTTTCTTACTCTGCAGTGATTCACACCGTTCCCTTTCTTACAACTCTTCATGACTCCACCTTGCCATTAAGACAAAGCCCCCGTGTTAGCCAGGATGGTCTCGATCTCCTGACCTCGTGATCCGCCCACCTCGGCCTCCCAAGGTGCTAGGATTACAGGCGTGACACGGTGAAACCCCGTCTCTACTAAAAATAAAAAAATTAGTCGGGTTCGGTGGCGGGCGCCTGTAGTCCCAGCTACGCGGGAGGCTGAGGCAGGAGAATGGCATGAACCCGGGAGGCGGAGCTTGCAGTGAGCAGAGATTGCTCCACAGCAGTCCGGCCTGGGCCAAACAGCGAGACAAAAAAAAAAAAAAAAAAAGACAAAGCCCCATTTCTTTAAATGGATCCTCAAAGACTGCATTTCTCTTCTAGCCCAAGAAGGTCAATGCAGCTTCAGAATGAATGTTCCAATTTTCTAAATTCACCAAATTTGCCAATTTACTAAAAACTTAAGAGACACTCTTCTTGATTATAGTTGATGTATTCAATAAGGAAGAGTAAAAAAAAAATGCTCAATTTGTTAAACAAAACAGAACACCACAAGAGTCAGAAATTGAATTTGTTTCTTTAAAAACAGCATGTTCTTTTTATGAATATGTTCTTTGTAAAAAGAAAGGAAAGCAGGAAAAAGATAATTAAATTCTGTAAAGAAAAATCCGCAGTCATGACAACCCCCCTGCCCATACTCTGTTAATCCATGTATTAGGCATTACTGTAAGCTTTATAAATTACTACAAGAAACAGATGTTGGTAAGTATATAAATTTGATAAATTGATCATTTGGTGATTTGTTCCTTTCAGTGAATTGCTCATTTTGTGAGGTGGCTTTCAATGCATTGAGCTAGAGTCATCGAATTCAGGTTGATCTCACCATTTCCTTGCTATTCTAACCATACATAACTCTTTTGGCTCCTGTAACCAGCATTCACTCTTACTTAGCAGCATACCTAAATATTTCCTGTTATCTAAAATCTACTGCCTATCACTATTCTACAGACAACTATTACTCTTTAGATATAGGCTTAAAGTTAGTTATCTGAGAAGACTTCTTTAGTGCCTATATTGGTCAGGGAGCTAGCTCCAAAAGAGAAATCTACTCCTACAATTTTACACAGAAACAGATTTATTAAAGTAGTAATAACCCTTTAAAATGTGGGATTTGCTGAAGTTGCTGACTCTAGACTGACCTTTTGAGGATACCTCCCAGAAACACATGAAAGAACTACATTGCCAAGGGGGCAGTGTCGTTCAGCAATATTGAAAAATCTGTATTATCAGGAAACACCACCAAAGCTGCTGGCCTCAGAACCACACAACCTCTCCCATGATCCATGACAGCTAAACATCTGCCAGATGCCCTTGCTTTCTCCCCATATAAGGCTTTTCTCAATTGAAGCCTTATGTGAATATATCTAATTGGTAGGACCCATCCTAGCATCTTGGAAGACATGGAAATAGAATTTTAAGCTTTTTCACTTCTGCTTTACAGAAAGGCATTCTGGAACGGATTTAAGATATTTAATTCAAAGAATCCCCTGAACCTGCCCTATATGTTAGTAGTGTGGAGCCGCATGTGACTGTTGGGCACTTAAATGTAGCTCGTGTGCCTGAGAAACTGAATTTCTTACTTTATTTAGTTTTAGTTTGTTTAAATTTAAAAGCTGAAGTAGTGTAAAAATTTTTGTTAACTACAACTGTACTGCCTTGGAAGACTATATTTCATTTCAGCTGTTGAATTGTATAAGATGTTACTGCTTAATCCTAGTATGTATTTACATTTTACTTTTTAAAATTTGGCTACTATAAATTTAAAAATTACAAATATATTACATATTCTATTTCTATTGGACAGCAGCACTCTAACCCCTAGATTGGGCTAGACCTCACTATACGTGCCCCCATGGTATCTCATCTTTTCTTAGTCTTGACATTCACACAGCTTTTTGGTTATAATTGCTTCTGTATTTGACTTTTCTCCTAGCTTGTAAAATTAATGAATGGAAATGCTATATCTTTTTTTTTTGTCACCATTGTTTTCCATAGCACAATGCTCACATATTATAGGCAATAAAATTATACTAAATAAATGAGTGAATAATTCTTAAAAATGGACGTTAAAGAGCTAATATTCCGTAAAGCTTAGTCTAAACTGTCTTTACAATTTCATTTTAAAAGATCAATTCAAGCCATTACTTTTAAATAAGTTATTGAGTTTTACCATTAATTTTCATAGTTCCTTAATTTACAAATGACAGATAATTGAACATATTTTTACTTTATACATTATTTCATTTTGCATTACTTTCCTTTCTTAAGCAGAGACAGTGAAAAGAAAAAGAGCTTCTTGGGATTTTTTATTAGAGATGACACACCAGAAATATAATTTTAAAAATAGATTTTCACATAGGTGCAACAATGTGACATAACTCACTGCCACACACTGTGTCTCAGTGAGTTTGAAATAAAATTTTCTGTTTCAATAAAAAAAAAGTATGGTGTTAATTTTAGAACAAATGAGATTAAAGCAGTTATTTCATCAGGGTTGCAAAACATAAAGATTAAAAAATGATTTATTCAAATGGAAAGTTGCAATAAATGAGAGGGTTCTGTAGAATATAGTATTTCAGAGTTTTCATGCTTCAATGAAAATGAGGGAAGAGGCTATTTCTTAGAAACTTAGGAAAGAGTAGTAACGGGGATAGAATCTGTGATATATACATCACATAATCATAGAGCTGCATGATCCATAGGGATGAAAAAAGAAAGTAGGGATGTCAGAAGTCAGGGGATACATATAGTACTAAAAGATGTATCAATTTATTTTTCAAAGTTTTGAGGACGTGGTGGAAAATTAGCCCCAGATATAAAATAAATCCACTTAAAATGAGATGCCAATTAAGACTTTTAGTTTACAAGAACTCTAGCCTGAGTTTAAGCAAAAGGGTTTTTATTTGCTGACGTAATAATGAAAAAGCCCAGAGATAATGCTGATTTCAGTTGTGAACGTGTATTTAAGTGTGCTAATGATCTTATCAAAAGTTTCTCTTTCCCTTTCTCTTTCTATTCTGTTTTCCATTGGCTCCATCTTCATACACACTCTTCCCTCCGAAGAGCAAGACGGCTGCAGCATCTCCAGTCTCACAGCCTACAAAGTTTAAGTTGAAAAAGAATTGCCATGAAATTCTGAAATTCACTCTAATTAGATCCATTTGGTTGTAAGCCAAACCCTCAACCAATCACTGAGGCCAGAGGAATAACAAGTGTTTATTAGCTCTAGCCTATATCACATGTTCCACACTTGCAGGAAATGATGGCTTGTCACCCAAAGCACAGAAACTGAAAATGAAAGTCGCATAGATACTCCCTTCTCCTGAAAAAATAATTGAAGCTGTTACTGGAAGCATGGTAATTAGAAGGTGGCCAGTTAAAAAGAAATGTCCGTTGCAAACAGGGAGCAAAATTTAAGTATAAAGATGTAAATATATTTGACTGTATTTTATCTTGAAAAGTGAATCTAATGTAGATGACTATATTTCTTAGTTTCTAATTTCAAGAAAGTGTTAATTCTTAGAATAAGCAGTTAGCACGAATGCATTTTTGACCTTGTATTTCTGACAAAACTGTAGGATTATATGATTGACATTAAAGGTAAAATTAAAATTAATATATAAAATAAAACTCAAAATTTTCAAGCCATTTGGAGCTTGTCTTGAGCTAATGAGGTAAAGCTCATGTCCTCAAGAAAAATGTTTTACTCTGCTGTTTTTAAGGGTGCTTCTATAGAAAGAGTTTGAGAATCATTAATATGGATTATAGAAAATTAATAATGCTTCATTTAAAAATAAATGTATTTAATCCTAAAGATTAGCTTTACTTAAAATGTTTATTGTTGCAGACAAGAAATCTATCTTATTTGAAAAATCAGAAATTGGACATGTCAGTGATTATAGGTTTTTTTTTAAAATCTGAACATGAAAAAGTTTTCCACAGTTTTAAGATAATTTACCATGCTATTCAAGTCAGCCTAAAATCTTAAAAAGCTGCTACATAATAAGGTAGGGATTGAAAAAAGAAATATTTCAGATTCAGAGAATTGTCTTTTTTTAGTACTAATTAAAACATTCAAAAAACTATATTTAATGATGTCATTCTAAATTGACTCAATAATATTAAGTGAGGAATTTATGTTCCAGCAAACAGTGGATGAATGTGTCTATGGAGAGCATTGTTTCAAAATGTTTTGACAAATATATCCTTGAAGTTCTTGCTATTTTATTCAGTTTCAGCCACTATTCTTTTTAGTTGATTTTTTTTGTCAATCTTAAATTTTCAAAAGAAAGATTGTTTTCAAATTATTTTATATTTAACAAATAAAGTTATATGTTATTGATTATTTAAATTGACTGTTACCACAAATTTTTTTTGGATGGATCATTTGGACAATATACCTTTGTGAAGTGAATAAAACACATTTCTACAGAAACAATTCAGAAGCCATTCCCTTTCCATTCAAAGTGGTATTCACCTTTCAACTTTACCCAGACCTAGGTGGCAGAAAAGAATGCATTTTGGAAAAACCAATAGCTGACTTGTAGTGGGGGGCCACATCTTAGAAGTCTTCAGCATTTACGTGGATTTGTAACTCAATACATAGAAGCCTTCAAAGCTAGAGTTTTAATTAAAAATTGTTACTGAAAACTTGGTACTTTAATGTATTAAAATTGACCAATTAAAGAAAAGTTTATTTTTTGCAATCAGTAAGTAATCTATGATACGTAATTTTACTATCCTGATGTGAAACAAGTAGAGTGGATGATTTGTACGCGTTTGGAACAGAGGCAAGGAATAAGCATTTAACAGACTCCAATGCCAAATAAAAAGCCTCTATATAGATGTTAAATTCTCTTTAATACCAGATTCATATTGTGGTTATGTAGATACATTAATTATACTCATATCTATAATGTATTTGATTGTGTTTAATTGTGTAATAAATGATGCATATTTCATAAAGTTATGTTGTTTATTAATCTATTATTGTAGTCTTTTACAAAATCTAGTTGAAAAATCTCTCAGGTATTTAGAAATATCTGGTTGGCTAAATGGAGAGGAAAAGTAGTATCAAGAACAATTTACAACCAACATTTTCTGACAGTTTACTATGTATCTGACTGTGTTAAACCCTATAGGTACCAGTCTCATGGAATCTTTATCACAATTTCCTCATGTGGCTGTTCTCCAGCATCCTCATATATAATGGTGCTCCCTACATAACTATTTCTATTTGGACATGACACACATTGCAAGAATTCAACTTATTTGTATTTCTAGGGAAATGCTAAGCAAGTTACTATTTAATAGTACTGGAGCTGGCTGGCTTAGGCCTGCATCTTGATCACAACTGAGTGAGAATAGATCTTCCACTTTGTATGTAGAAATAACCTATAAGCTCAGTTTCCATGAATAAATGAATGAAAGAAGCCTATAAGCTCAACTTCTATGAATAAATGAATGAAAGATTCATGTTAACATGCTGAAGTATATGGGATTGAAGGCTGGGTCACACAACCTACAACTATTTCAGATGTAAATGAAGGAGATGAATTAAATGAATTAAATGAACATTTATACAGGTCTTAAATTCAGGTTTAAATTTACAGATTGCACTAGGGTGTCAAATCTTGGAGTACAATAAATACTAGAATTGTATTTTACACTGCAAAAATATATCCAGTGTTTACTATTAGTTGGACTATTGTTGTAAACCTCAGAAAGGCAATATCGTGGGATTACAGATGTGATTACGTCTGAATTTCTGATATTCTTAGTGTATTGGTTGGTGGCATATGTATGTAAGGGGAATGGTATTGTTGACTGGTATAAGTGCTATGATGCAAATAAGTATTTCTTTTCAAAATGACATCAGTAGAATAAGCACTTTCTTTAGGATAATGAAATTCCAGCATAGTTGTCATAATGACTCAAATATAAAAACAATAAGGAGCCAAATATGGTTATTAACAATAGGCCATTATGGTTTATCAAATCATGAATTTATAATTTTTAATGATACATTACACTCTGCTAAAGTTGCTGAAGTTGGTCTTCACAAGTTATACTTCATTTGGTTCATCAGGACACAGTTCCAATGCTATTCCAATATCACTTTTAGCACTTTTTTGTCTCATAAATGCAATCAATAGAAATATGCCTAATGTAGATATTAATCTTTATAGGTGCCTACTTACATTAATTAGGTTATTTGTTTGGCTGTTCTGACAGTGATCTAAAATAACTGTCAAAAAAAAAAAAAAAGGCCAAAGTGTTGGGGAGAATCTGCCCTATAAAATAATCAAGCTTCGTATTTCTTATCTTGCTACTCTGCTGGGCTGAGGGATTGCCCCCATTTGCATGGTGCAAGATGGCATTGTAGCACACTCACACAAAAGGGAAGTTAAACACGTCCTTTCCACCTCCCTCTTTTAGTCCACGTCTTAGAATCATGGCCACTCCTTGCTGCAATGGAAGCTAGGAAATGTAGTCTTTACTCTGTACCTCTAGGAACCTCTATGAAAAAGTATATATTCCATGACTCTAAGACAGGACAGTATGGCTAATGGGAAGCAACTAGTAGCCTTTGTCACAATGTCAAGGATTTTTATTGATTGCCGAAAGAGGCAGGATAGTATTTAAAGATTTTATGTTGTTGTTAAAGAATATCTTAAAATCTCAAAGCATTATTACCAGAAAGGGCAATGGACCTTGAATTTGATGTTGACCTTCATAAAAATGTAGTCACTGTCCGTAGACCAAGAAATCAAAGAAATTGAGAGTATGTTAAATAATACAAACACACACACATATATGCACGTACACATATACACACTCATATATATGTGTGCATATATATGTGTGTGTGTATAGATATACACACTGTCTTTTTATTCATTATAAATTCTGTTTTCATTGGCAATTAGCACTTGTGATGAAACATCCAACATTGTTTTTCAGGATTTATGATTTCTTTTTCATCTTATTAATATGTTCTTTAAAGTATTTAAAGATTTTATGTTGTTGTTAAAGAATATCTTAAAATCTCAAAGCATTATTACAAGAAAGGGCAATGGACCTTGAATTTGATGTTGACCTTCATAAAAATGTAGTCACTGTCCGTAGACCAAGAAATCAAAGAAATTGATTGAAATATGGTTGAACTAGTTTACAGTCCCACCAACAGTGTAAAAGTGTTCCTATTTCTCCACATCCTCTCCAGCACCTGTTGTTTCCTGACTTTTTAATGATCCCCATTCTAACTGGTGTGAGATGGTATCTCAATGTGGTTTTGATTTCCATTTCTCTGATGGCCAGTGATGCTGAGCTTTTTTTCATGTGGCAGACTACTATCTTTTATCAAATAAGGAAAGATTTTTTTTCAAAGAGTTTTAAAAATAAATGTTGCTAGGAAATATTACTGTTTGAAACAAATTTAAAAGTTTATTGTAACCAGTATTTATTTAACAAATGTGTATTGATTGCCTAATACTACTCTTCTGTTCCAGGTATTGGACTATAGCAAGAAAAAAAATGGCCTCATGGAGGTTATATTCTAGAGGAATTAGATAGATAATAAACACACACACACACATACATGTGTCTGTATGTGTATATGTAAAACATAGATTAGTAAAATAGATCTGTATATACATGCATAAACACACATGTATACACACAGGAATGCTCTGCTAAAGCATGAATGCATATATACTATGTTAAAAAAAAACAGGGTAAAAGGAGAACCAAGTTTCTGGGTGGAAGAGTAAAGACCTTTGTGATAAAGTGATATCTGAGAAGAAACCTGATGAAAATGTAGATATTTTGAATCAAGTGGCATATTTGGTGAGATTCTGAAGAATCAATACTAGTTTCTATAGTCTACAGTGTTTTGACCATACTGATTACTGTCTGTTGAATCTACAGTTCATTAGATCTGAGAGTTTAATAGTGATTAGTAGTAAAAGATTAGTGTCTAATCATAGAATATATGTTTATGAAGTAATAGTGTTTGATAACTTTAAACTGCATAGAAAGCCTTCTGGGCATTTTATAATATTTTAATATATAGTTAGTGACTCAGGACATTAAATGTTTCCTGAGATATAATTTTTATAACTATTGTTAGATAACTAAATATTTGAACCAGAAATAACATGGTTGCCAAGACAGGTTTATTATTACCACTCTCTACAACATAAGACAATTTAGTCATTTATTGTTTTTATAAAGCTTAGGAATGGTCTCTGTCCTCAACGGGGTGACTTAAAAAATAAGTGCAGTAAAGCATTGCTACAATAACAATAGAAGGCTGTACAGGGCACAATGTAGACACAAATGTGGGGGAATGTAATTCTGTCTGGGAGAGGTGATCAGAGACCTTTTGGCTGACTTTTGACCTCATCAAGGAGCTTGCATAAATGGCGAATGAAATTGATTAAGCCATGAAAGAACATAAAGCCCTTAACTTCAGCATGCTTTGCTATATGTTCTGGAGTTTCATTTTGATGTGCTACTTTGGGGAAATCCCACCCCCCAAAATATGTATGTATTTGTTACTGTCTTTTCAACTGAAACCAAATATAACAATTTCAGTTAGTATCTCAAACATCTACTCTGGCTAATTTCCTCTTAATCAAGCCTTTAAAACTATCTTGCAAGATATAAATGTTTTGCTTTATACTAGGTTTTTGTGCAAGTAAATAAACTGAAAAAAAATCACTATTTTAATCATTAACATGTTCCCTTAAAATTAAGACATTATGCTGTTTGTAGAATTTACTTTTTCTTCAACTGAACATCATTTAACCATATACCTTCTCCTGCAATATTTCTTATTATTAGTTGCCAGAAATATTTTCTTAATGAAAAAGGTTAGCATGGGTTGTCTTGATACAAATCATAACTAAAGAAAAATATTGAAATTACATATTAATATTTTCTTTGGAAATAACTTGCTTTTGTGAATGAAATTAAACATTTTTATGATCTTTAAGTAACAATAAAATGCAGCACTTAAAAAGTTATATATGGATGTAACATTTCTTTATATTGCTTACTCTATTATTATTAACTCATTAAATTTTCCACACAGATAAATTAAAACAATAGTTATTATTATACATAAACATGTTTCAAAATTAACTGTGATTTATAAGATCATTTACTTTGAAATCCAATATGCAAATATTTATTAATAATGAAATTTGAAGACTCTTAAATAGGTTATTGAGATATTCTGAATATACTTGACATGAGTTAGTAATTAAATTTTTTCTTCAATATTAAATCAATATCAAATTAAAATCTTTAGCTCACAGTTTTGGTCATTAAAAAGTATTTAAGCTGTGTACTGTCTAATGAACACACACATTGTTTCAGGACGAAATACGTGACCTCAATTATTGTTAATAAGTATCAGTTTCTTTGATATATTTCAAGTACCACTAGAAATACTTATAAATATTATCTTTAATTACAGACAATTCATGTCTCTTTAACCTGGGGTCAGTAAAATTTAAGTTCATTTTACATGAGTGATGTTTAAAACAGCTAGTGACAAGAACCCTCATCATTACCATGTAAATTGATGATGGGACATTGAAGAGAGTCTCAGTTTTCTTCTTAAATTTTCACTAATACTTTTCCTTTACCAAAATCTATACCTTGACTGCTTTCTTTTCCTTCCTCCTTCCCTCCCTTCTTCCCTATCTTCCTTGCTTTCCTCCCTCCCTCCCTCCTACCCTCCCTTCATTTTCTTTCCTCCTTCCCTTCCTCATTCCCACCTGGCCTCCCTTTCTACTGACTCATGTTACATTCTCTATTTTTTGTCATTTTGAGGCTCTGGACATATAAAAATAAACGTTTTTTAAAAGATCATTAGACATTTTACTATTCAATATTCAATAAATAACAAATATTTATTGAGCACAGCTCTGTACAAGACGCTGTGAAAAGTACTGAGAATAGAGCAAGAAACAAGATCAACAGGAGCCCTAGCAATAAAGACAGTCTTTAAATAAATAATAAAAGTAAAGTAACATCTTACAATATGAGAAGTGCAGAGAGCTAAGGGAAAATAAAGCAAAGATGCGTAAGCTAATACAGACATCCAAGTAAAGTACCTTGTGGAAGTTATGTTTAAACTGAAACGTGAAAAAGATGAATCCAGAATGTTCGGGGAAGTGAACAACATATGAAAATATGGAATGAAGAGAGAGCATTGTCCATTGAATAAATAAGATAATTTTTCTGTTGCTTTTTAACACTCCTTGAAGATTAAATGGTATATTTTTGTGTTTGCTCCATCAAGAGAAGAAAAGACTCACAAGTTTATAACCACATCCACCCAAGGGATTCAGTAGGCATTCTTGTATGCTTAACAACATCCTGACCTCTAATGAATAACTTGGTCTTTGTGTTTCTGAAATGCAATTAGCCTCCTCTGCCTTCAAGGCGCTGAAAAGCGAGGAAAATGTTCTTTGGAGATGGGGTTTTTGTAGAGTAAAAAGGCACAGCAGGTTAAGGCCAAATCTCACTCTCAAGGCCTTGGCCAGTATAGAGATATTTGTTTATTTTTCAAAAAATATGTATTGAATACAATTACAACAATATAGAGAAGGCCTTGCCCTCTTGGAACTGAAATTCTAATAGTAAAACAGTGTAAGGGGCCAGAAGGGCTGGGGATTAGCAGGTAACTTTGGCAGATTGAAAGGCACTCTGAAAGACTCTAGCTCCTGTTTCAGGAAGCCACCTGCACAGGTATATCTATCTGGTCACAATGATACCCCATGAGGCAAGAAATATTGGTAACAAAGGCCATAGTAGACAGCCAGACTCTGTCCTGTTTCACAAGAGATACGAGAAGTACCTCTACTTTACTCTGCATATACCTTGAGAGATTGCTGAATTATTTTTGATTTGGTATATGTTTTGTACATGAATCTCTGGAATCAACTATTTGGGCATTATTTATATCCTATCTTAGACATTGTAGTACTCACCTTTAAGTTCCAAACAATTAATTGCTTGTAAGAAATTCTGGTCATTCAGCTGTCTCTGTCCAGAAAGGAAAATTAGGTAACTGCATGGATGCTTACTTGAAAGATATAAGATGGACCATGGAAAGGATGCTCTAAATAAAGGAAACAACGTTATGTAAAGCATGGTGGCATAATGAGTATTAGGAATGTAAATAGTTTGATATATCATTGGATAGAAGAAGGTGAGACAGCATTGACTATTAATTATGAGAGAAGGAACAATTAAGAGTTTCCTTTAAAATATTTTAACTTTTATTTTATGTTCAGGTGTACATGTGCAGGTTTGTAAACTTGTGACTCGTGGACTTGGTGTACGAATTATTTCATCACCCAGGCATTAAGCATAATTAAGCATAGTACCCAACAGTTGCTTTTCTTTTCTTTTTTTTTGGAACATCTCCATCCTCCTAACTTCCTCTCTGAAGTAGGCCCCATTGTCTGTTGTTCCCCTCTTTCTGTCCATGTGTTTTCGTTATTTAGCTCCCACTTTTAAGTGAGAACACATGGTATTTGGTTTTCTCTTCCTGCGTTACTTTGCTAAGGATAATGGCCTCCAGTTCCATACATGTTCTTGTAAATGACATGATCTCATTCTGCTTTATGGCTTCAGAGTATTCCATGGTGTATATGTACCACATTTTCTTTATCCAGTCTACTAATGATGGGCATTTAGGTTGATGACATGTCTTTGCTACTGTGAATAGTGCTGCGGTGAACATACATGTGCATGTGGCTTCATGGGAGAACAATTTCTATTCCTTTGGGTATATACCCAGTAGTGGTATTGCTGGGTCAAATGGTAGTTCTGCTTTTAATTCTTTGAAGAATTGCCACACTGCTTTCCCCAATGGTTGAACTAATTTCCACTCCCACCAGCAGTGCATAAGTGTTCCTTTTTCTCTGAAGTTTGCTAACATCTGATATTTTTGACTTTTTAATAACAGCCGTTCTGACTGGTGCGAGATGGTATGTCATTGTGGTTTTGATTTGCATTTTTCTAATGATCAGTGATGTTGTTTGTATTTCCATATGCTTGTTGACCACATGTATGTCTTCTTTTTAAAAGTGTCTGTTCATGTCCTCTGTTCACTATTTAATGGGGTTGTGTGTTTTTTGCTTATACATTTGTCTAAGTTTCTTGCAGATTCTGGGTATTAGACCTTGGTCAGATATAGAGTTCACAACAAATATTTTCTCCAATTCTGTAGGTTGCCTGTTTACTCTGTTAATAGTTTATTTTGCTGTGCAGAAGCGCTTTAATTAGGCCCCATTTGTCAATTTTGCTTTTGTTGACGATTGCTTTTGATGGTTTTGTCATGAAATCTTTGCCAGTTCCTATGTCCAAAATGGTATTTCCTAGATTATCTTCCAGGGTTTTTATACTTCTAGGTTTTACATTTAGGTTTTTAATCTATCCTGAGTTGATTTTTGTATTTGGTGTAAGGAAGTGGTCCTATTTTACTCTTCTACATATGATAGCCAGTTTTCTGAGCACCACTTATCGAATAGGGAGTCTTTTCCCTATTGCTTGCTTTTGCTAGTTTTGTCAAACATCAGATGGTTGTAGGTATGTGGCTTTATTTTTGGGCTCTCCATTTTGTTCCATTCATCTGCGTGCCTGTTTTTGTACTAGTACCATGCTGTTTCGGTTACTGTAGTATAGTTTGAAATCAGGTAATGTGATTCCTCCAGCTTTGTTCTTTTTGCTAAGGCGTTCCTTAGCTATTCAGGCTCTTTTTTGTTCTGTATGAATTTTAGAATAGATTTCTTCTAGTTCTGTGAAGAATGGTAGTTTGATAGGCATAGCATTAAATCTATAAATTGCTTTGGGCAGTATGACCATTTTAATGATATTGATTCTTCCTATCAATGAGCATGGAATGTTTTTCCATTTGTTTGTGTCATCTCTGATTTCTTTGAGCAGTGTCTTGTAATTGTTATTGTAGATATTTTTCCCCTTCCTAGTTTGCTGTATTCCTAGGTATTTTATTCTTTTTGTGGCAATTGTAATGGAGTTGCATTTCTCATTTGGCTCTTGCCTTGGGTGCTGTTAGTGTATAGGAATGCTACTAATTTTTGTACATTAATTTTGTATCCCAAAACCTTGTTGAAGTTGTTTATCAGCTCACGGATCTTTTTGGCAGAGACTATGGGGTTTTCTAAACATAGAATCATGTCATCTGCAAACAGTGACAGTTTGACTTTCTTTATTTCTCTTTGGGTGCCTTTTATTTCTTTCATTTGCCTGATTGCTCTGGCCAGGACTTCCAATACTACATTGATTAGGAGTGGTGAGAGTGGGCATCCTTGTCTTGTGCCAGTTTTCAAGGGGATTCTTTCAGCCTTTTTCTATTCAGTATGATGTTGGCTGTGGGTTTTTCATAGATGGCTCTTATTATTTTGAGGTATGTTCCTTCAGTGCCTAGTTTATTGAAGACTTTTAACATGAAGGTATGTTGAATTTTATTGAAAGCCTTTCCTGCATTTATTGAGATAATTATGTGGTTTTTGTCTTTAATTCTGTTTATGCGATGAATCACATTTATTGATTTGCATATATTGAACCCACCTTGCATCCCAGGGATAAAGCCTACTTGATCATGGTGGATTAGCTTTTTGATGTGCAGCTGGATTTGGTTTTCTGATACTTTGTCAAGGATATTCGCATCTACGTTAATCAAGAATATTAGCCTGAAGTTTTCTTTCTTTGTTGTGTCTCTCCCATAACTTCGTATCAGGATGATGCTGGCCTCGTAGAATGAATTGGGGAGGAGTCAATTTCAGAGCTCATTATTGGTCTGTTCATGGATTCATTTTTTTTCCCCAATTCAGTCTAGGGAGGATGTATGCTTCCAAGCAAAATATTTATATAGATGTGTATGTGTACAAATACACATACCTACATACATATACTCTATATTCTGCCTACTGAGAATGATTAGAAACAGCGTGCCTCAGTGCAATGAGCATACCTACCACCCAGATCTTAGCTTCTAAATTCTATTCTCTACTAAAATAAACAAGGGCTTACTGAGGAAATGGGCTACTCTAGGGCTAGGGTAGGGAAAGTACGAGATGAATCTGGAATATCTTATTATGTCACCAAGTGAAGATGTGCTCAAAGGATGATGAAGACATATCAGATGACCTAAAAACCTGCTTGAAAAGATTCCCACTTGCCAAATACGGAATACATTGTGCACCTAAACAAATGCTATTTATAACATTATAAATTATATATCTTCAATGGGTTATAGTGTTATATGTAAAGTCCTGTTATTATATTATATATAACATTATTTATATATATAACATTATAACCCATTGAAGATATGGGAAACCATGAATCTATGCTGCTATCAGTAAATAAAGGAATAAATTAAAAGTTTGATGGGGGATGTCATATTTACATAGCTTTAAAGTATCTCCCAATAAAATACTTATTAATTGGACAATTAATAAAAAAAGAGTTACAGTACTATGAAGAAGTTAATTAAATGATCAAACTGACACAATTGGAAGTGAGACAAATCAAAATTACCTGACTGGATGCAGGTGACAGTACACTGTGATTTTTTTTTTTAATACTCCTTCCAAATAAGCATAATATGAATACAATAAAACATAATTCAAACCCAAATAAAGGGACATTTTACAAAATAATTTCAAAATCTTCAAAAATGTTAAGGATATAAAATTCAAGTAAAAACTGAGGATCTACTGTAGATTGAAGAAGATAAAAGACAAATGACAATTATATGCACTACAATTTCCTCAGCTGAATCCATTTGCTGTAAAGAACATTATTTAGACAGTCTGTATAACTTGAAGAGGTCTGAGGATTAGGTGATAGTAATGCCGATGTCACATAAGAAGTTGTTAATATTGATGATTTTATTGTAGTTACATAGGATAATGTCTTTTTTCTGCATTAGAAATACACACTAAGTATTCGGGTGTGATCGGGCATCAGGTTGACAACTTATTCTAAAATGGTTTAGGAAAAATATTATTCTTAGTATTGGACTTGAAGATTTTATGTAAGTTTAAGTTTGTTTCAAAATGAATAAAAAACAAATTATATTGGGAAATGATTCATGATTTTGCTCAAGTGATTAAATGATCTCCCTTATGTTTGCAAACGAACACGGTGGCTGATATGTAGACAAGGTACTCGGAGTGAAGATAGAGAATGGGCAAAGGTAAAAAACCAAGAGACAAATTGAGATGCCATAGCAATAATTCAGAGGAAGATGATGGTGGCTTGAACTAGGGATATAACGGAGCAAGTGGTGAGAATCTGTTGGATTTGAGTTATATTTTGAAATGATAACCCACAATACTTGCTGGATGTCGAGTGTGTAGGAAAGACAGTGTTTGGCTTGGGATGACTTTAAGCTTTGAGAAAGGTTCTTAGACCTAGAGGCATTGATTAATATAGTTGTCTTTAACTTGTACATTTTCCTCTTCTGGTATTACTGCTTTCATCTTAATGGCATGATAATACTGCAAAAGTGTTCTGAAAATAATCTAAATTATTGAGAAATAAACTATTCATGAGTTATAGGACTATGTCTTTTATAAAAACCTTGACAATTTTATTACAGTTTACATTCTGTCAGTACGCATGTGGGAAGCAACATAGCATAGTGGTTGGAGTAAGTACTATGGTATTAGAAATGACTTTAGCTTTAGCTTGGGCAATGATAATTTTGGACAAGTTACTTTCTCAATATCCTCATATAAAATGAGGGATAATAATATCTACTTCATAGAATTGTGAAAGGATTAATTTAAAACAAAGTGATTAGCACTGAGCTAAATATTGTTGTAGTCACTATTATCAGTAGTAAATAGTGATAGAAAAAACATTGTGTGATACCTCCAAAGATCTCTAACAAACTCTTAAAGAAATTATTAGTTTAAAAAAATTTGTGGAAGAGAAATGGAAGAAATATATAAAATGCCACCAAGGATTACCATTGAAATTTGTGGCAGTGGCTAACAGGTTTTTCAAATTTCATCAGTTATGCACATTTGACATAGTTTGCTTGCATTCAAAACATGAAAAAACAGTAAAAATTTTTAATACCTCCTTGGTCTGGGAACATTGCCTTAAATTATGACCGTGTTTCTAAAATTTTAGATAAAAGCATTTGGTACAGTATTCACCTCAGAGAGGTGAGTGTTCTTGTTGCTTAGAACAGAACATACTTTTTCAATGCCTTCCTTCCTAATCCAACTTTATATTCCCTATTTAGTATGCCTAATCATTATTCTAGGGCTCGTTTGAAAACAGTTGTTCTTAATTGTAAAATTGAGCTGTGCTCCATTAAGCTCCTGCCGAGCTGCTTTTGAGATCCTTGGTGGTTTGGAATGTGGAGATGCATCCACATTCTCCCCTTGCCAGTCCTTTTCATCTTTCCTCTCTAATGCCATCCCTCAGTGTTTCAGCTGCTAAGTGGTTCTAGCGTATGTCTGATATAATTTTCTGGTGACTGATGCACTGTTCTCACTACTGATATGTCAGCAGGAATGCCACCTGTGTCTGGGAATTCAAAACCATCAGGACAGTGTATTTTAATGGAGCAAGAGGGAAAAATGTAGAATTAAATGGAAAGAAGCATTCCAGTTCTAACTTCTAATATTTAATTTTGGAGAAACTGTGAGGGTAAAAGAAAAAGTGAATGTTACATGAGCTTTTAAATTAACCCACAAAGAAACTGAAGTATTTTTTATGAAATTTTTATTCCTTTTTTAAATAATTTAAACTTCTATTTTAGATGCAGGAGGTACATGTGCAGGTTTGTTACATGGGTATATTGAATGATGCTGAGGTTTGGGGATATGAATGATCCCATAACACAGGTAGTAAGCATAGTACCCAATAGGTAGTTTTTCAGCCCTTGCCCACCTCCTTCTCTCCCTACTCTTATAGCCCCCAGTGTCTATTGTTGCTATCTTTATGTCCATGTGTATTCAATATTTAGCTCCCACTTATAAGTGAGAACACGTGGTAGTTTGTTTTCTGTTTCTGTGTTAATTTTCTTACTATAATGGCCTCCAGTTGCATCCATGTTATTGCAAATGACATGATTTCATTCTTTTTTATGGCTACATAGTATTACATGGCATATACGCACCACTTTTTTAAATCTAATCCACTGTTTATGGGCACCTTGGTTGATTCCATGTCTTTGAATGGAACTGGAGATCATTACGTCAAGTGAATTTTTTTTTAATGTAATGTCTCAACTTTTGATATGGATGTTTGTACATTTATTTATTCACTATTTGTGAATATCTAACTTTGTTTTGTTCTAGGGACTTGTCTGGGTACTGGGAAAAACAGAGATGTAGTGCTGCTTTCACAGAACCTAGAGTCTACTTTGGAGCATACAATTTTACCAAAATAGGTCTCCCAGCTTCAAGTCTACAAAGTTGTTTTATGGTGATATAGTAAAAAAAAGTTAATGGTAACATCCATTCATGTAAACATTCCAAATGAACTCTTTGCTAAATAATGAAGAATGCTTGTCCTCTGGCTAAATAATGAAGTATGTTTGTCCTCTGTAAAGTAGACATTGCACTTTAAGTGGCAGGCTTCTAGAAGTCCACAAGGCTTTTGTGGGGAGGAGAATGGACAAATTTGATTTAAGGATCAACTTTCAACTGCAAAATCAAAGAAGTATAAAAATTGTAGAATGAATTTACAACTTGGATTTACAAAATTAATTTGACAATAAAGTCATTGTAGCAATAGACACGGGATCCTTTAATAAAGTCAAGAAACTCAAGTTTCTAAACCTGATGTTGAGCTTCACCCCTATTCCCTATATCACTGGTGGGTTGGTATGTCATGTTTTCTCCACCCTCTGGACCACGACATTGTTGTGGATTCTTCCATGGAAAAGCCCTAACTGTTATTACTGTGCTTGTTATGTTGTCTCATGCAACAACATTCCTATATTTATGGAAATGCCAGACAAGTTTTGTCTGTTTGGGTTATAAATAAAACCTTTCCTCTACTTAGAGAACTAGACCTTATATGTGGGTTGAATAGGGGTCTTTTCTCTGGAATTAGAAAAGAGAACATAAATTTCACTCCTGTGCCTTTTGCCTCCCTCCTGTCACCAAAAAGATTGCCAGAGTTATTAAAGAAGAGCAGGTAACAAGGCAAGAGTCAGTGAGAAACCACACTTGAATTTCTTCTTATTCAAATTATTCTATCTGCCTAACCAATGTATGAAACAATAGTTATCTCCAGTTCGATAATCTTTACTCCACAGAGATTAAAGTGCCCACATAAATATGTAGGTATTTAATGAACTCACAATTTGTTTTTGTAATAGGTTACTTTTTGAGATATAATTTTAAAAACCCTAGACGAACACCCTATATGTGATCACTTAATTTCAGTACCTTTTGCCCATAAAGAGACCATCAACCAATTATTGTGATTCCTTCCCTACTTTATTATTCTCTAACATATTAGTCTGTTATATTATCTTGATATTCCCGAATGCTACTTAAAATTCTTTTATTTCTCTACCTATTCATAGTTCATATTTCCTTCTCTACTTTCACTAGACTAGAAACTACTTGTGAGCAGACTCTATTTTTCTTGTTCATGTTGAAACAACTCTGGTTAAAACAGAGCTTGGAAAATAGCATATTTACTATTCTGAATGAGTAAAAAAGTCAGTCTCCATAAATGGAACAAGATTATCTGTTCTAGAAGTAATCGTTTTTAAAAGAAAATGAGACATTTCTTCACCTACCACTTGCTATAACAAGGGCTTATTGGAAAGACTATTTATATATCAAAAGTAATTGTTTTTAAAATTGTTAATTAAATTTCAGATGTCATGTCAATTAAATCCTTTTACTTGAAATTTCATGAATTGAGATATTCAGTTAACTGGAACTCCATATGTATAATATGATGGAAATTTAAATTCACAATGGAAATATTGAGAAATTACAAGACTCTGAAATATCTTCTTGTCTACAGAAAATGAATATTGATTTAATAAAGTTTTAGAAGTTAAGGGATCTATTGTTTTTTCTTTAATTATCAACAACCCATTTATATATAAAGGGTATCCAGTGTACTTTAATTAGAATATTTAACTAATTAGTAGATGCCATTTATTATGATAAAATATACCTTTGTACCTATATATGGTGAGCCTTGATAAACATTACCGATTTTCTAAAGTTATTGTTATTCAGACACTTAAGAGTAAGACTACTTTGAAAGAAATAATGATAGCTGATAAATAGTGTTTGTATTTTTATTTTTCCTTGAAAAAGTCCAGTGGAATTGATAAAGTACATATGCCTTTAAAAAAGATACTATACATATTTATTAATGTATTAGGGTTCTCTAGAGGGACAGAACTAATAGGATAGATGTATATATAAAGGGGAGTTTATTAAGGAGCATTGACTCACATGATCACAAGGTGAGGTCCCACAATAGTCTGTCTGCAAGCTAAAGAGCAAGATAGCCAGTCTGAGTCCCATAGCTGAAGAACTTGGAGTCCCATGTTCAAGGGTAGGAAGCAACCAGCACAGGAGAGAGATGGAGGCCAGCAGACTAAGCCAGCCTAATCTTTCCATGTTCTACTGCCTGCTTTATTCTAGCTGTGCTGGCAGCTGATTAGATGGTGCCACGCAGATTTGAGGGTGGGTCTGCCTTTCACAGTCCACTGACCCAAATGTTAATTTCCTTTGGCAACATCCTCAAAGACACACCCAGGAACAATACTTTGCATCCTTCAATCCAATCAAATTGACACTCAATATCAACCATCATATTAAGTACATTAATTCTGAAGAACCCAATGATGATCTATGCTATTATTAAAATCCAATGATAAGTAAAAAACAGGATTTTTGTGTGTGTGCCTTGAGGATCTGCAAAGTGGCCAAACTCCCTGAGGACTTGAAAACTGCTTAATTTTCCCACCACCAAAATTTCAAATATGAGTTCATCTGTTTTGATCCTCTCCCTCTTGTAACAAAAGCGGTCTGTGTTCTGAATCTCATACACTTTGTCCTTCTCAAAACTTTTGCTTATTGGGTTACCAACCTTTATTTGACATCTCACCTCATTCCCAGATTTTCTGCTTGAATATTTCAAACAAGATGTCAACACTGAGCTTCCCAACTGATGTAATTTGTCAGACCTGCAGCTGGTCAAGAAGAACCTCCCATACCTGCCTCCTCCAGGCCTGCCTCTGGGAGCTGGCTCTCTTGTCAGTTTATCACAGTGCGCATAAAATGTTAATCACTTTCTTATGAGTAACATGATGCATTAAGTAGGGAAACACTGACTTTATAGCATTTTTTTGTTTGTTTGAGACAGAGTCTCGCTCTGTCGCCCAGTCTGGAGTGCAGTGGCACGATCTCGGCTCACTGCAAGCTCTGCCTCCTGGGTTCACGCCATTCTCCTGCCTCAGCCTCCCGAATAGCTGGGACTACAGGTGCGTGCCACCACACCCGGCTAATTTTTTTGTGTTTTTAGTAGAGACGGGGTTTCACCGTGTTAGCCAGGATGGTCTCCATCTCCTGACTTCGTGATCCACCCATCTCGGCCTCCCAAAGTGCTGGGATTACAGGCGTGAGCCACTGCGCCAGGCCTATAGCATCTTATTGTTATTTTTTTATGTTTAAGAGACTTTCCCTTAGCAGTCTTTCTTACACATAGGATACATACTTTCCTATATTATTTTACCCTGTTACATTTTCATAGTACTTTTTATACTTCGTAACTAAATCTTTACATGTTAATTTATGTTAATTTACCCACTTGTCCATTTTACCAATGAGTGAAAGGGGCAAATAAAACTGATACGCTTGGATTTCATCTTATTATCTTCTTGCTATTGTTTGGAACACAAACAATATTGATATGAGAAAGGGAGGGAGAAGGAAATTGATTAAGCCAAGATTTAGGGGGTATTGTGTCCGGAATTGGTGGGTTCTTGGTCTCACTGACTTCAAGAATGAAGCCGCGGACCCTCGCGGTGAGTGTTACAGCTCTTAAGGTGGCGCGTCGCGAGTCTGTCCCTTCTGATGTTCAGATGTGTTCGTAGTTTCTTCCTTCTGGTGGGTTCGTGGTCTCGCTGGCTCAGGAGTGAAGCTGCAGACCTTCACGGTGAGTGTTACAGCTCTTAAAAGCAGCGTGGACCCAAAGAGTAAGCAGTAGCAAGAGGGAAAGAACAAAGCTTCCACAGTGTGGAAAGGGACCCGAGCGGGTTGCCAATGCTGGCTCAGGCAGCCTGCTTTCATTCTCTTATCTGGCCCCACCCACATCCTGCTGATTGGTAGAGCCCAGTGGCCTGTTTTGTCAGGGCGCTGATTGGTGCGTTTACAATCCCTGAGCTAGATACAAAGGTTCTCCACCTCCCCATCAGATTAGTTAGATGCAGAGTCTCAACACACAGGTTCTCCAAGGCCCCACCAGAGCAGCTAGATACAGAGTGTGGATTGGTGCATTCACAAACCTTGAGCTAAACACAGGGTGCTGATTGTTGTGTTTACAAACCTTGAGCTAGATACAGAGTGCCGATTGGTGTATTTACAATCCCTGAGCTAGACATAAAGGTTCTCCAAGGCCCCACCAGAGCAGCTAGATACAGAGTGTCGATTGGTGCACTCACAAACCTTGAGTTAAACACAGGGTGCTGATTGGCATATTTACAAACCCTGAGCTAGATACAGAGTGCCGATTGGTGTATTTACAATCCCTGAGCTAGACATAAAGGTTCTCCACATCCTCACCAGAGCAGCTAGATACAGAGTGTCCATTGGTGCACTCACAAACCTTGAGCTAAACACAGGGTGCTGATTGGTGTATTTACAATCCCTGAACTAGATATAAAGACTCTCCACTCCCCACCAGACTCAGGAGCCCAGCTGGCTTCACCTAGTGGATCCCGCACCGGGGCTGCAGGTGGAGCTGCCTGCCAGTCCTGCGCTGTGAGCTCGCATTCCTCAGCCCTTGGGTGGTCGATGGGACTGGGCGCCGTGGAGCAGGGGGTGGTGCTTGTCGGGGAGGCTCCGGCCGCACAGGAGCCCATGGAGTGGGTGGGAGGCTCAGGCATGGAGGGCTGCAGGTCCCGAGCCCTGCCCCGTGGGAAGGCAGCTAAGGCCCAGCGAGAAATCGAGCACAGCACGGTGGGCCGGCACTGCTGGGGGACTCAGTACACCCTTGGCAGCCACTGGCCCGGGTGCTAAGTCCCCCATTGCCCGGGGCCAGAAGGGTTGGCTGGCTGCTCCGAGAGCGGGGCCCACCAAGCCCACACCCACCCGGAACTCCAGCTGGCCCGCAAGGGCCGCACGCAGCCCCGGTTCCTGCTCGTGCCTCTCCCTCCACACCTCCCTGCAAGCTGAGGGAGTGGGCTCCAGCCTTGGCCAGCCCAGAAAGGGGCTCCCACAGTGCAGTGGGGGCACTGAAGGGCTCCTCAAATGCCGCCAAAGTGGGAGCCCAGGCAGGGGAGGTGCCGAGAGCAAGTGAGGGCTCTGACGACTGCCAGCATGCTGTCACCTCTCAGTATGACTAAAAGTTGATGAAACTGATTTTTATAGAAGCTTACTATTTAGAACTTAATGATACATAACACTAGTGTACTTTGAGGAAATTTCATTGAATTGTTGGGCACAACTGTTGTTCTTGTATACTTAGCACTTTCCCCTTTGTTGTGAAGACAGAGCCCTTCTCTTGCTTTAGGACACTATACTTTGCATCGATCCTTCACCCACAGTAAGAATATCGATAATATTGCCTTGCTTATATTACCATAAGTGACCAACACTGGCCTATCTGTTTATCACCTACTCCTGGAAACTGTGATTGATTCAGAACTAACAGGTATACCAACCAGGGTGATTAGAATCCTATTCTTGGTAATTGACGTAATGTCAACACTAAATACGATACAAACCTAAAGCAACTGTGGCCATTTTGCTACCACAAAGAGAACACCTGATTAAGTATTAAACATACACAGAGAAAGACAAAAGACAGAACATGGAGGGAGAAAGAGTTCCAATAATCTCCTCCCCACACATAGATTCAGGCAAGCCTAAATATTCCTGAATTTTTCAGTAGTATAAATATTTTTGGTTTAAGCTAATTTGAATTGATGGGCTGTAATACAAAGTTTCTTAAATTTATTCTAATCATTCCTCAAAAACACATCTCAAAATTCATTTTCAAATATAATTGTTATAAAAGCCAGTATGTGTCCAATCTCACAGATGATTTTTACACTGGCCAATTTTCTTTGGGCAAATAAAAGTGAATAGTCAATATTTACAGTTTGGCTTTTTTTTTTTTTTTTTTTTTTTTAAAACAGTCTCTCTCTGTCACCCCAGCTGGAGTGCAGTGGTGCAATCTCGGCTCACTGCAACTTCTGCCTCCTGGGATCAAATGATTCTCCTGCCTCAGCCTCTCAAATAGCTGGGTCTGCAGTCGCCTGCCACCACACCTGGCTATTTTTGTAGAGATGGGGTTTCACCATGTTGGCCAGGCTGGTCTCGAACTCCTGACCTCAAGTGATCTGACCACCTTGGCCTCCCAGAGTTCTGGGATTACAGGCATAAGCCACCATGCCCAGCCCAGTTTGAATTTAAATTGTAACATTTATGTATTTAAGCTTTTGGTAGA
The DNA here is from genome assembly GCF_000001405.40 of Homo sapiens. Taxonomy (NCBI): domain Eukaryota; kingdom Metazoa; phylum Chordata; class Mammalia; order Primates; family Hominidae; genus Homo; species Homo sapiens. The sequence continues at coordinate 91,219,651 of NC_000004.12, forward strand.
AGGAAGTTAGGAAGAGATTCACAAGAACTTTCTCTGAGCTACATTCACTTAGGGCAAAAGATTCCTGTTGGTAACATGATATTTTTATCAGGATTACTGCTTCTAAAATAGTACAATATATTTATAAAAATTATGGAGAATATATATTTTTACCAACCTAAATCCATTAATTTTAATCACAAACCTATGATTGTTAGGATTAGTATCTGTCTCTCATATCTGTCTTAAAGAAACAAATTTATATAGATAGAAATTTCTATGTAGAGTATTTCCCATACTTTCATTTGACCAGTGTTTTTAGAACCTCTCTTAAAATGTAAATTTACTCAAAACGTCATATATAAATCAGTTAAACCTAGAGTTCTTCTAGTTCAAGTGAGAATGGGAGATCCACAGTTTATCCCTTTTGACCACTTCCCTCCCGAGTCACTTTTGGGAAGAGCATAGGGTTTAATGAAACTGTTGAACTATACTGGGCATGTTAAAACGTAGGCCAAAGGTAGCAAGTGACAGATAGATTATTATTGTACACAGGTAGTGTATTTTTATCCCCATCACATTGCTTGTTAACTACTGTCTTTTTAAATGTCATAAATTGAGAAGAAGTTTTTGTTTTGTTATTCTAGTAAGAATTGCCCCTGGAAATGTATGCTCGTTTCTTGCATGCTGCTGTGCTCGTTGAAAAGGTGGCAATGACCTGACAGATGGGACAAGGAATTTATTTTGCCTGAACAATCATATAGTTAATGGAACATTTAAAAATTGACTTTTTATGATTATGTGATTAACAGGAATAATTCCTTTAAATACACTGTTTGCTAAGAGCTAGAATACAATGAAGGTTTGGAATAGCTGTCTTCTGTGTCAAAAAGAGTGACAATTCAGAAACAGCTGAAATAAGTGATATGGGTTAAAGGGAATTGGTACATGGAATTTTCTTTGTGTAAGTAGTTTACTGTTCAGTGAGCAATTTACTAGTTCAACAACGGTAGCAGTGTCTTTCTCTTTTTTTATTTTTGGCCTACTTCACATAACCCTGCAAGCAGTTGTGCTGAGGGATGTGCTGAAAATAGATTTGCCAAAAGAGTAGGTTTTAGGTACACTTACTGAAAAAAAAGGAAAGAAAAGAAGGAAAATTTAAAAAGATAACTATATGAGATGATACATATGTTAATTTGCTTGACTGTAGTAAGCACTTCACTATATATACATATATATCAAAATATCATGTTTTACACCTTAAATACATACAATTTAAAAAACAAAATGTGAAAAAGTCATATGTACGGAAAATGTAGGATAAATGGTGTAGTTGAAAAATTAACTGACGTATTCAATACAGATATATTAATTTAGTTAAATAAACTAAAATCTCTAGGGATTAAGCTACCTTTATGATAATTTAGAATCCTAAAATTCTGTGAGATAAAAATATATAACATTTTGGAAGGATGGCCTCATGTTATTTTACATAGCATCATATATAACCTTTCAAACTCATATCAGTCTTTAGTAATTACCTTACCAGTAGTTCTTATTTATATTTGTCTTGTATTTTTTCTATCATAACATAGTTGTTTTCCTCTAACATCTCACTATCCACAAAATGCAGTCAATTTATTTGATTATGTGTAAGAAATAAGTAAATGCTATTTTACTATAAATATGATTTCTTTAAATAAGTTATCATGAATTTCCTTATTGAAAACAGTCTAATCCTCTGTTTGGCTGTGCATAGTTAGTAACTCAGATTTTCCTGTATTTCTATTATTATAGTACATAGATAGTATTGATCAAGATACACATTTATTAAAGAGTGTTATAATATTAAGAGCTTTAAAAGGTTATGCACATTTTCTGAGAAAAATTAATATTTGTGTATTTTCAATGGAATGAATAACCCATAGGCATGGATTGGAAAATAAAAAATATGCTTATCTGTTAATAAAATTATAATAACTTCATCAGGTCAAACACATATAGTTCGAACTGATCTTTAAAGTAATTACTCCCTTTTAATAGGTATTTCAGTCATAAGTTTAAAATTGAGGTTAAAAGATGTTCAGGTTCACTGCCAAGCATTGTGGGTATAGAGATGAGCAAGTTGTACACAGTCCCGGCACTCATATATATGCTCTAATGCTGGAAACAGTCCATTAATAAATAGCTAGAGTCCAGTGTGATAAGGTTATGCTCAGAAAAATGGGGTATACTATGGATAATTACTTATAAGAGCAAATTATGGCAAAAACATATTGTCCGAAAGGGAAATTGTTAAATAAATAAATTATAATGAATAATTGTGTTTTACTATAACTGAATATTCTGAATCTATTAAATATATTCTCTAATGCATGTTCTATGAAGAAAATATGCACAATAATGTTGTTACAAAGAAAAGGAGGAAAAATACATTAATTCTGTGTTATCTCCATCACATATACACATATATAAAGAGAGAGAGAGAAAATGTGGGGGAGGGAAAGTGTGGCTGCTACTGTGAACTGATTTTCAGGGCTGAATGAAGAAGCACGGATTATGCTCTGCAAGACAAGCAGAAGGAGGCAGCATATGCAGGAAGGTGAGCACAGCCGAGAGAGGCGTATTCCAGACTGAAACAAAGTCTGAGAGTGTAGTAGGCATCCAACAGCCATAATCGCCACCCTTGAGTTCTGTAAAACCTCTTTGAATCTTAAAATGCCCCCCTTTTACTTAGCTCAATTTATTTTCTATAATTTGTAGCCAAAAGAGCTTTAAGTAAGAGAGGTAAAAATGTTCAATAAATACAAGATTAGAAATTAGTATTCTATAAGAACTTATCTATTCCTCATACTATACCTTTTGGTGCCTGAGAATTGTGTGCAGATGAGCTTGCTTAACGATCTCAAATAAGCTTCCCATTATAATATTTATGCTTTCCCAGGTAAGGCCTCCCTTTCTATATTCAACTTTAAAGCCAAATTACTGGGTTTTTTTAGTATCTAAGATGGCTGAAGTAATAGGTGTTAGGGGAAACTGCCTTGCATTGCAGAACCATTCATTGAGCACTGCTGTCCAACAAAATTGTATGTGATAATGGAAATATTCATTCTGTGCTGTCCAGTATGATAGCCATTAGACATCAGTGACTATTGGGCACTGGAAATGTAGTTAGTACAACTGGGAAACTGACTTTAAATGTTAATTAATTTTAATGAATATAAAATAAATAGCCACATGTGGCTGGTGGCTACTATATCAGAGAGCAAAGCCTTAGAGTGTACCTATGAAAAATAGAGATATTATCAATGTTATCTTGGTGTAAAAAAATCACAACTATCTCTTATTTTCTTATGGACACTGGATATCTTCCTGATTTATAAGATATTAGTTGACATCACTAACTGAATCTTTAAAATAATGTTTTTTTCTTATTTTATTGAATACTCAAAAAAATGGAAAACTTAAAAAAATTCAAATTATGCCTTCAGTCTCAAATCTTATGAGTTTTGCTAAACAAAACAAAATGAAAGAAAAAGCAAGCAAACAGGAAAGAAAATGTAAAAATATATCAAGGAGCAGGCAATAGATAGTGAGTTCGTATTATTTCCTTAGAGAAATATTATTTGTTTAGAAATCAAATAAATTTTGAAGACATGTCTGAAAAGTGCATTGTAGACAATACACTATCATCGTCAAAACACATAAACATGTAGACACTTTGAGCCAATGTATCTACAGAAAAAAAAACATGTAGGCAATCTTTTTGGTCTCTAGAAGTCGGTTTAAAAGGTACATAAGTATAATAAAGAATTAATAATTTTAGCATATGATAGGAAGAAATCAGTAAGTGCTTAAAAATGAGTAAGTGCTGTAATAATTCCAAAGGGGGAAAAATCACTCTGGCACAGATGGCCTCAGAATACATAACTGAAATTTAGGTAGGGCCCAGATAATTTGCAAGGTGAAAAAATAGTTTTTAGGAGGGAAAACATAGCTGAGGATGGGTAGTGAGAAGGTATATAGGTCTATACAAGGGCAAATGGTGGGAAGATTTGAGAAGGAAGATTGGAGACACATAATGGATTTATTGAGGATGTCCAAAGAGTTTGGATTTCATTATTAATAAAATAGGATAAATCTGACTGAGTTATAGAGAAAATCCTTAAGAAACTCATAATATAGACACCAATCACGTCTGCATCTGTTAAATGAGCAACCACAGATGTATTGGCTAATTCAATCTATCATTTTCTGGAACGCACTTTGTCTATGCAATGAAGTTCATCCTTTCAAAAATGAAATATTTATTGAGTATAAAAATTAATAGTAAGGTACCTTTTTATAACTAAAAGATTATTTCCAAACAATATTCATATTTGGAAGGAAGGCTTAAATTCAGGCACTTCAGAAGTTGCTCAAAGTGGCTTTTTTTTTTTTTGGCAGAAATAGTGCGGTGACTGAGCTGTTCTTGAAAATATTAATAACTCCCGCGCTTAATGTGAGAGGAAAAGCAAACCAAAACCTTACTTGGCTTAGAAAGCAAATTCGCTAAAGCATGCAAGTTAGCATTGCTGCAAATCCACTCGCATCGGTCTACCTTTATCTACTGTGCTGCTTACATATATTTAACGAAATGGTAATTTATACAAAAGTATGCAGCACTTTAACAAGAAGAAAGAAAACAAAATTGTAAGTAAACTGTGGGAGGCAAAGAGATGAGGTCCTTGTTTAATGTTCATTCTTTAAGTCTGTGACTAAAAGCAAAAACGAAAACATTTTTCCATATTCTTCTTAGATTTGTCCAATGTCTTTGTGTGACAATGGAAATATTTTATATCTGCACTTTTCGTATGTGCTATTAGTCATATGTGGTTACTGAGCACTTGAAATATGACTACGTGACTAACTGAAATTTTAATTTTATTGTTTGAATTAAATTTAATAAGGCAGGTTATTTAATCTTATCTATATGGACAGCTAATTCATATCACATAGGACAAAAATATCAATAATTAGGAAACCTAAAGGGTCAAGTGTAAGTTTTGAACATTACATTCCAAATATACACTAACATCTCCCTTTATAAATGTGTCCAGCCTATGCTAAAATAATTTGGGCATTAAACATGAGAATATTTCCTTTCCAAATTCCTATCATTTCTTCTCATTGTTACTATTTTTTTTAACCATGAATAAATTCCTTGTGAGAGACTACAGTGAGAAAACAAATTTAACAATAGATTTGATGTTGACTCACAGGGATTAAGAATGAAAAAATGTGTATTAGGTAAATGTTAGAAGAGGCAATATTAAATATCTGCAAATTTATCCATTGAATTCCAATTTAACAAGATGCTACCCCTGAAAATACTTTTTATATCAAATCAATATTTTAAACATATATAAAATTTCATAATTTTATTTATAAAAATAGCAATGTTTTAGAATTTCTTATCACAGTAAGGTAGAATTCTTGAAATAAAATGTTACTGTGATAGAGTTTTACCTGGAAACAAGAAATATGATATATATATGTGTGTGTGTATATATGTATATAATTATATATAATATATATAATATATAATTGTATACAGTTATATACATGTATAATTATATACATATACATGTATATAATTATATACATTTTATATATGTAATATATATGTATATATATTATATATGTAATATATATGTATATATATTATATATGTAATATATATGTATATATATTATATATGTAATATATATGATATAATATATATATTCATATATATTATATATATGAAAATATACAGTATTTCTTAAATTTAAGACTGCAAATTATAAACTCAGGTGTAATTATGATGGATAGATACCTACATATTTTTTCCATAGGAATAAAAGGACAGGTAATATATTCCTGGATGTGAAAAGAGTAAACAGATTATTCAATTTTAAAAATATTTTTGATGTAGATTAAAACCTTTTAACTAAATATTGTTAAGAACCCACAAAGGAAGGCAGAATTTGTGTATTCTGTTTCTCTATGCCATTGACCTGCTGCATGTTTTGTTGCCATAACCTTAATTTTCAGTCTCTCATGTATTCATGCACAACCTTTATCCTCAGAGTTTGGTTTAAATCCTGATTTTGATGGTTTCAATCTGTGCGACATTGGGTAAATTGTCTTACATTGCATACTCAGAAAAAACCTTTAAAAGGGGTTAGAATGGGTTAGGAGCAGAGGTGATTCTTATGGTAGAATCTGAGTAACTAAACCTGAGCTCAGACTGCTATTGCAAGCATGCCACAAAAGGGAGGTAACATATGGTCTGAATAAGGGAAGTAGAAATAATTTGTAAGTTGACAGACAAAAACATTAGCAGAATTAAATTCCTTTTTTTAAAATTATACTTTAAGTTTTAGGGTACATGTACACAATGTGCAGGTTAGTTACATATGTATACAAGTGCGATGTTGGTGTGCTGCACCCATTAACTCGTCATTTAACATTAGGTATATCTCCTAAGCAGAATTAAATTCCTAAAATTAATGACTCAGAGAAAAGGACTAAAAGAAGACAATGAAAGATATATTAAAGAAGTGGTCAAGGAAAAATGCAAGGCAGCAAATGATGGTGATTCAGAAAGAGATTTGATAAAACATATGGAAAGGTAGATCAGTTAATTTGGAAGAATATATTTATTGGTGTTTATTACATTTGAATTTCTAAGATACTTATTTGTGCAACACAGCTATGATAAATCATTGGAATTTGCAAGAAAAATAAGAGTTTGAAAATCTGAAAATGAGTAACAGAGAAAGTTTTATGCTAATGATTTAAATGAAAAGTTATCTTCTTAAATACAAATAGGGCAGAATTTTATAGCGTTTAATATATCTTTATGGGGGCATGTGAAGTGAATGGATAAATCTAAAGACATTTGGATTGGACTCTGGAAAGTGTCTCTTTAATGGAATCGTATATGCTAAATAATTTTGTAGTGATTAAAGATGTGGGTGTACTTTGAAGTAAGACGCTTAAATATTATTTCAGCACTTACGTATTATGAAACTTCAAGTAAAATTCTATGCATTTGTCTCTTTCTCTTTTTCTTAGGGTGGGGTTGTTGGATAAACTTGTACATTTCATTTGCACAATGGAGTTTGCTCTTTAAATACAGGAAATCATTGTGTGGTCCAATGGTTTAGAGCATTATATACTTTCAGTTGAGATTATTTCAGTTTGAATATCACTTCAATAGTTACTAGCCATGTGAGTTTAAGTAAATATATCACAGTCTCAGTTGCATCATCTGTAAAATGGTCATAAATTATCATAATATTTAGAGTTAAAGGATTATGAGGATTACATGAATTGATCCACATCTATTAGCACAGTGCCTGACATAACTGCACACTCAAAAGCTGTTCTCTATCATTATTACGTAATATATAGCTAGTTACCCAATAGTTTATCTTTGTATTATTAGTTAGCTATGTCATTGCATAAGAAACCTTGACTTATTAATGAACTGCTTCCTACAATTTAATTTTAGTTAGTTATCTAAAACATATAATGCATTAATGCTAGTTTTATATAATAGTTCATAAATATTCTTATACCATAAAGGAGTTGAAAAATAGCTACAACTTAAAACAACAGACAATATTTAGTTAAAAAAAAAGGAAACCAGCAAATAAAGGAGATCAGCAAGCATAAAATAGAGTACAAAAATGACACTCAGTGATTTCTCTTGGCTGGAATCTACACATTGACTCATAGAAACCGTCAAGAGCATTCTAATTTTAATAACATTATAATGTGTGTGTGTGTTTGTGTGTGTGTATGTGTATGAAGACAAAACTATTTTGCAATGATATTTAGCAAAGAAACAGTGTTTATTTTAATTTTTTTTTAGATTCATGGGGTACATGTACTGGTTTTTTTTTTTACCCAAGTATATTGCATAATGCTGGGGTTTGGGTATCTAGTGAAACCATCACCCAAATATTGAACATAGTATACAATAAGATAGTTTTTCAATTCTTTTCCCCTCCCTCCCTTCCCCTTTTGGAGTCCACAGTGTCCATTGTTTCCATCTTCATGTCCACGTGTACCCATTTAGGTCTCACTTATATGTGAAAACAGGAAAGGCATTACATAACATTTAAATTATGAATTACCAAATAGGGTCCATGAAATTTTGTGTTTGGTTCTTTAAGTTGAAATTTTGTCAGTTTTGAGAAAAAATATCTCAATTGCCTCTGTGTCAAAAAGTGCAGGCTGTTTGTAAGTGAAGAAAAAGAAATAAAAAGAGAATTTGTAGATTCATCCTCTATTTGGTTTTTATTTTTTGCATGTAAATATTGAGCCAGTCAGAATTCTCCTCTCAGCATGCAGTTCTGTGACTTTATTTTATTTCATTGCTTTAACCACTCTTGTACTTGACCACATTTACTCACCTACCAAGGGAAATTTTCTGCTTCTTCTCCCATTATTAAAGAAATCCTAGATTGAGTGAGGAAAGGAACAGAAAATATTTTGAGAAGACCGACAATTGTCATGATTTGAGTAAACATATGTATCCTGCTACTCGGTTTCTTAAAGTACAATTTTGAATATAATAATTATTCAGTGTTCTTGAAAACTAACAAACACATTTTTCTAAAGAAGTACGTATCTAGTTTTTAGAAGCAGACACCTGTTTCTTTGGTGAAGAAAACATATTTTCAAGATTGTTTATAAGGAAGCACATACACATAAATACTAAAAAATTTAAATATAATTTTCAATTTCTTGCATAAGTTATACCAACATTAAATTTTACAGAAATGCAGAATGAGATTAGTTACATATATCAATCTGAAAATAAACAAAAAAATTTTAAAGAAATATACTCTTATTTTAAATATATTCTATTAGTGTTATATTTCCAGCATAAAACACATATATAATCCATTAAACAGCAGAAAGAATAAGATCATTTTGAAATTTAAATTTAAAGAAGTATTTTGATCTTAATCTATTTCATGAAATTAAAGCCTGGACTATAAACACTTTTGTATTGTTTGATTTCTGATTACAGATGGAATAAATGGAATCTGCCACCTTCACCTCATAGCAAAAAAATAAGAACAAGAAAAAATATTTACAAATATGTATAAAATATAGTCTGTGTGTATCAATGAACCAGAACATACGAGGAAGGCTGAGAAATGCCTTGATAGTTACACAGGGTTCTGGGGATAGCATTCAGCTGGCCCCAGGATACTGATCACAGATAAAACTACCAGAGCACAGTTATATAATATATGTTACATATCTTGTAACGGAAAGACAACAATCCTTTATTTGTAACATCAGTAATCTGAGCAAGATAGCTTTGGGAGCATTCTATAACCAGTTTGGCAACAGCAAGCTGTAGAGCGGGCCAATGATAAATCACATTGAATCATCATTTGTGTGGCCAATGCAAGGAGTCTGCAGTATGAGCAGCATGCAGCTGCCAATTTGTGATGAACGAGGAAAGGTAAAGGTTAAAAGAACACATTCGCACACAAAACCTTGTGTTTTACAGGCAACTTCAAAATAAATTAGGAAGATGGGCTGCTAATGGGCAATATGACTCTAACCTGAGACCTCTATCAAAAAAACCCCAAAAAACAAAAACCTGCAAAAAAAAAAAAAAGGTACTCAAGTGAAGAAACATAAGTATATTACTTCTAGATATGTTTTGAATTAAAAAAAAAACAGAGTACTCTTTGGGGAATTTGCGGAGAATTCTCCAGTCATCTGAGGGATAAAAAATTATGTTAGTCTTAAACTTCTCCCAATGACATTAAATTCTAGAACTCAGAGGATTAATTCTTGCAAAGTTTAAAAAATTTGATTTCTCATTCTACTGTAAAGACACATGCACATGTATGTTTATTGCGGCACTATTCACAATAGCAAAGACTCAGAACCAACCCAAATGCCCATCAATGATAGACTAGATAAAGAAAATGTGGCACATATACACCATGGAATACTATGCACCTGTAAAAAAGAATGAGTTCATTTCCTGTGCAGGGACATGGATGAAGCTGGAAGCCTCATTCTCAGCAAACTAACACAGGAACAGGAAACCAAACACCGCATGTTCTCACTCATTAGTGGGAGTTAAACAATGAGAACGCATGGACACAGGCAGGGGAACATCACATACTGGGGCTTGTCGGGGGTTGAGGGGAAAAGGGAGGGAGAGCATTAGACAAAATACCTAATGCACACAGGGCTCAAAGCCTAGATGATTGGTTGACAGGCGCAGCAAACCACCATGGCATATGTATACCTATGTAACAAATTTGCCCATTCTGCACATGAATCCCAGAACTTAAAGTTAAAAAAAATTAATTTCTTTTGTACCCCACCAAATATTCATTCGAGTACTAAAGCAACAGATAAGAGTTTTTGAACATTAAAAATTCAAGGAATTATTTGCTATGAGATGAAACAAAAGTCCTCCAAAATAAACTTTAGCCACAAACTTTAGCCATAAACTTTTCTATATATAGAAAAACTATACCACATAACCGAATAAATGGCACAAAAGTTGAATCCATTTAACTGTAGAGTAAGGATTACAACAATTATGTAATTATAAAATACTCATAAATACACAGATACTTCAGTGAAAAAATTATACCACTAGCAAGAGTTTGGAAAGAAAGGGACGAGGAAAGTTGGAGGCAGCTCCTTCCTTTACAATCAAAATAAATAACTGCATAGATAAAATATAAGGGTTGATTGAGTTTGCTTATAGATGTAAGGTCGACACTAACAAAACTATATGCTCAACTAAAAACAAGTGTATGATGAGGTAGACCAGAATAGGATAGTTGGAAATAAATGAACACTAATTAGAGATTTTTAATTGCTCATTGTAGAGATTTTTAAAATTACTTTTTAAGAAATAGAAGTCATAATATATACATGATTTGTGCCTATCTATTTCTGTGTCATGGGTGTGGAGGAAAAAAAACACACAAAACAAAGGAAAGCAAGCACAGCCCATTAGGTAAAAGATAATACAATATTTTTATATTATTCAAAATTTAAAATATAGATTTAAGATCAAATTTCGAATATTAAATGAATAAAATCCTTAATCAGAAGACAATGAATCACAAGTTAAAACACAATTATAACTCTTTAAAATATACAAAATAATGATCAAATGACCAAAAATTATACTTAAAGTCATTAGGTTTCGAATAAAACACATAAACAATGAAATTTTACCACAAATCCATCAGATTGGCAGAAATTCAAAAGAATTTTAGAATAATGTTAGTAATATAATATTAATATGTCTGTTAGGGTACAAAGAAAATAAAACACTCACATATTCCTAGTAAGAATATAAGGTGTTTTAGCCTTTTTGGAAAAATTCTGGCAATATCTTATAAAATAAAGATTTGATTTAGCTACCATATTAATGAGAATCCTTATCAAAATTAAAAACACATATTCATAAATATATACGCACGACGGTATTCATTGTGGCATTAATCACAATGGCATACATAAAATAAGGGGAAACAAAGTGAATGGTCGTTGAAAGGGATATAGTTGAATAAAAGATGGCTTAGCTCCACAATGGAATATAATTAACAGTATTTTAAAAATTAATTCATAGATATGTCCATTGACTCAAGGTCATGAGATATTTTGTGGGAAAATTAAAAGATAAAAAATGTGAGTATAGGATAATTCCATTTGTAAAACAATGGTCAAAAATGAAACACCTACACACACATACACATATGTTTTTTCATATACATATGAAACACAGAGAGGTGTGGTGGGGGAATTAACATGTTTGAGTAATATGGAAGAAAATCCATTATACGTATAGGTTGTTCACACAGATGACTTAAGAGTAGAGAAGGTGTTGTAGATGAAATTTATTGTGAGGAAAAGATAGATGACAGGAAATTCAATTAAAAAGAAAAAAGATAAAGACTCCTCTTTCAAAGACATTTTGCATGATACATCATTTATGAATTCATGTAAAGTTATATATGGATAGTTATATATATAAAGTTACGTATATTTATGAATTCATGTAAAAGACATATGTATCTGTATTTAACATTAAAATCACAATAATATCCAGGTATCAAAGTCATACCAAGCAGATACAAACGAAAAAGAAGGCAGGACTTCTAGTTCAATATACTTCAGTAGGAGACCATGATGGTACTGAACTGGACTTTATGCAGGTAAAATCCAAATCAATATTCACAAATGTAAATAAATGCATCCTAAGTTGAGGGACTGTTGAATTTAGAGCAAAAACATTTGGGACTTTACAAATAGATCTAAATATATCAGAAATTGCCAACTTCACATGCAATTAAAACAAATGACAAAAATATGGAGAGAAATAGCACTTTAGTTCAGGTTAGCAAAAACTAAAAAGTTTTATAATTTACTATTTTGGCAAGGATATAGAACACACTATAAAAGCTTAAATTGCTACAACTTATACAGAGGGCAAGTAAATAATATTTTTCAAAATTAAAAATGCCCCTGCCATTCAATTCAGCAATTACATTTCTAGGACTTTATACTTCAGGAATTGTTTCACACCTGTGAAATAATGTATATATAAGAATATTCAGTGTTGTGTTTATCTACAATAGCGAAAGCTTAAAAACAATCTCAATATCCACTGACAGGGGACTTTTTCAACAAATTGTGTTTATATCTATACAGTAGAATTCCCTGAGTTGTTAGAACAAATCAGATGACTCATATATATTGATGTGAAACTATCCATAAGATATATTAAGGGGAAAAGATACAGCATAGTGTATATAATATACTATCATTTGGATAGAAAGTAAACAAACGGAAATACAACTATGCCTATAATAACTAGTTGCTCAGAATATGAAACGTTTGTGGCTGGAGAACAGGAATAGGAAAGAAACATATTTTTCATGGTATGTAAATTTATAACTGTTGAATTTTATATCACATATATACAATGTATAAATTATATAATCTGTATTTATATTGAATTACTTAGAACCCAAATAAAATACTTGTATAAAGACAAAATTTTAATGTTAAAATTAAAATGTATCTCTGTGTGTATTCCAATATTTGGATATATCTGAGCACTTGTCCTTTTAAGAAAGGATTGCTTTTAAAGTGGAATTTTATTTGGTGTTAGAAAATTGAGGTAAAACTCTATTACCGATATGGGGAAAAAATTAAGATGCAGAAGGGAAGGCAGGGTTTTGTGCTGTGTGAAAATGTAGACATATACATGGGTAGATATGTATAAAAGCTTCAAGAAGGGTACTCAAGAAAGTATTAACAATGGCAATCTCTGGGGAGTGGAACTCTTAGCTACTTAGGATTGAGGGGATTGGAGAGATCATTTACTGGTTACTTTATATGCTTCTCTGTTTGGAGTTTTAAAAAATGGGCCTTATTTTATGAAAGAGAAAGAGAGAAAGAGAGGAAGGGAGGAAGGGAAAGGGGCAATAAATGATCCTGCTCCAAAACAATGAGAAAGCACTCTTCTCCAAGCGACTAGAGTTCTGAAAGAGATTAATTTTGTACTCACTTATTGATTAAACTCTCTCAGTAGTCTTTGTTAAAGAAAAAAATCATTTTATTTTAATAAAAATGTGCCATAGAGATAACACCTTTGGAAAGTGAAGTGAAAGTGAAAGACCTAATGAGATAATAATTTGCAGATACGTACCTTCACTACAGGACATCTCCTTGGAATTCAAGAAGAGTCACTGAGTGTGAATTTTATTTAAGTTATTGAATAGAACACACTCCTCCAGTCTCTCAGGCACAAAACCTAATGCCTAATTTAAAAGATAAGTTTCTGTAAAATGCTGATTAGGTCATTAACAAGATAAACCATTAAATTGCTACTAAGGTTTTTCTGTTTGCTTACTTTCCCTTTTACTAATTTGAAACATCCAACAATATTGTCTTACACAAAGGTTGATAATTTGAACTTCAGCTTTTTATTCAAGTAGTAAAATAAAAATCTATCCTACAAACTAAACAAAGGAAAAATTAGAAAATATATCTCTGCTCACAACAGATGGTCTATTTAGTATATAAATTCAGTTTAATGACCAGCATGCATCATTTAAAGTACATGTTAAGGATTTTTTTTTAACCTTCCTTTATAGATGTGACATTTGGCAACTACAAACGAATAAAAAATATAAGTCTTCAACAACAGTGTATAATTTAGTAAAGCAATTACTAATATATTCAAAATAAACCATGTCAATTACCTGCATTTTGGGTTTATCATTTACTTCTGTCAGGCATTTAGTGAACTCTTCTAGAAATGCAAATATAGTATGTTTTCTCACTTATGTTACTAAAAAAGTATTTCCCAACAGTAGACAAAAAGTATTAAGATTAGAAGCATTATATAAGAAGATAATAGAATGAAAATCTAAACAAAAATGGAAAACACCTTGAATTTTTGATTGCGTAAAATCCATTTGTCAGAAGAGCCCTCAGAGTTTCAACTTTGCATTAGTTTTCCAGTCAGGTCTCCTTGTTCGCTTCAGTCTCATCTTTCTTCTTCCATTAGCTTTGATAAACAAGCATTGTAAACCTTTAAAATTCAATCTTGCCATTCAACATTTACTCTGATTCTAATGTAATTCTTTGAAGATACTCATCAATTTGCTTTTTTTCCCCTTCTTATTCCACCATGGCTCTAATAGATGTTTCAATTAAAATAAATCCTGGGGTCTGAGCAGATAGCTCAATTAGAGGTTAACTAACAAAACCGAACAATTTTAACCCCAGAGGAAAGATTGTAGAATGACCTAAAAGCCAGAAATATTTATATTTTGCAGAATGCAGGATAGAATTTATCTTGTTAGAAAGCATAAACTAAATTTGAATACCATAAAATAATATGTGGGATATGAGACTATACAGTTTTGTAGGTATAACTTGCACTTTTTGCCATTTATAGTCCAGATGGAAATTTGAGAATTTATAGCAAGAAAATGAAAATATTTATTGTAGTGACATTTCACTTTGAGTAAATCTAATCTTTCTTCTACTATTCTTTCTTCAAATTTGTGAAAGCTTTAAATAATTTCTCCCTGGGGTTCTTCCTTTATAAATCTACATGTTCCCATTTCTTTGACTATGCAGTTGTCATGGTTTCTAGACTTTTTAGCACACATCTTTAGAAACTCACGTTATCATTGCCTCTTGTTAAATTATGGAACATGGAATTCAACAATCATTTGTGGTATGATTAGTTTCATCAAAGCAGTCTATTCCTTTGAGAGGCAATATAGCCTAGAGGTTAAGAGTGCCAACTCTCCAGTCAGGCTTTGAATCTTGGTTCCGTCCTATCTAGTTGTGCCTTATTAATGTGCAAAATGAAAAAAACAAAGAACACCCTTGTGATTCAACATAAGTCAAGCACTTAGAACAATATATAGTACAGAGAAAGCACTATATAAATTCTTATTTTCCTCTTTTGTCTGAGATATTGTATTCCTAAAATCTAGGTTAACATAATGTTACTTGTTTCCCCCTATTGGAAGAGAGGTATACATAGCAAATTCATATGGATTCATGAGACACTTGTAATAAGGAAGGTAAAATTGTTAGTATAGTTTTATGTAAGTTACTGGCAAACCAAGTATCCTTTCTTCAACTGTATACAGGAGTTCTTGAAAATACACTAAAGTTATATTTTTTAATGCACTCAGAAGAAATAGAAAACCTTCAATTTATATTCACTTAGAGTGCCTGAGGCATTTTTACTCTAGCCTAAATTTGATAATTATGCATTTTTGAATTTTTATAAAATTGTGGACAAAGTAAATTTTATTTTGTTTGTTCTTATTTGTCTAGCACCATTCTATCTTCATGATATATTAGATTTAAATTGGGACAAAAATCAACGTATCTTTTTATAGTTTAAAATCAAGTTTTATGTTCTGTACTTATCCAAAATAGGGCAGCCTCATTTTTTTTTAAATAGGAGACAGGCCTTGTGTAGGAGCTACGTAAGGTCAATTAGAAGTAATCAGGCCAATTAGAAGGCGTTCTTTTGAATTCTGTGTGAATGTGTGTTCATTTGATGACTAGGTAATATTTAACTATAGAAAATAAATATAATTATGTTTTCCCTAAGTATAGAATGATCAGAAATATTAGAAAAGAGATTCTTTCAGGTGCTGCTGGATTAAAAAATAACTGAATTATATGGTGAGTGAATCATAATTACTATTAATAGGATGATTACTTCTGTTGCCATGACAGCAATTATCAGCTTTAACTGAGTTAGACACATTTTGATTGGCATTATTAAACCAAGGATCAAAACAATCAAAATGGGTTAAATTTTTTATTAAAATCATATTTAGAGGTGTTGAGAATTGATGCAAGTACTCTTCAAGTAATGCACACGTCTCTTACAAATATCACTTAGAATTAGCACATTTCATACTAATTTCTACTTTGTCCAAATGGCTAATTGTCATCTATCCCAGCCTCATTGTACATATAAAAAAATACTTTCAGCCGGGCGCAGTGGCTCACGCCTGTAATCCCAGCACTTTGGGAGGCCGAGGCAGGTGGATCATGAGGTCAAGAGATCAAGACCATCCTGGCCAACATGGTGAAACCCCGTCTCTACTAAAAATACAAAAATTAGCTGGGTGTGGCGGCCACTTGTAGTCTCAGCTACTCGGGAGGCTGAGGCAAAAGAATCGCTTGAACCCGGGAGGTGGAGGTTGCAGTGAGCCGAGATCACACCACTGCACTCCAGCCTGGGTGACAGAGCAAGACTCCGTCTCAGAAACAAAACAAAAAGAAAAAAAAATTGGTAACTTTGTGGGTAAATGTTAGCCTATGCAGTGTTCTATAATTTTGAGGTCAAGGAAATGGAATACTGTATTTAAAATTTTATTTCATACCTAATAAATGGTGGCTCCTTAATATCTATTTGTATGATCAATGCATAAATAAAATATTAAGACATACTCTCTAATTTTCTAGTTTCCAAGAAACAAAGCATAGACAAATACTTAAATTTAAAAAGCTTATATATGGTTCTTATTTCAGAGGCAAGATAAAAACTGATATAGAAGTTCAAAGAATAGGAGAAGGCTTCTAACTCAGTAGACATTGGGAAGGTTTTGTGAAAGCAGTGGATAGAAGCTAGATTGAAATCCAGTGTTGTGTTTAAATAAAGGAGTGAATACTCCAGATAATCAGCTGTACCTTTTCAATGTCACTGACATGAGCAAGACCAGACATATTAGGCCCAATTTTGTAGGATATTGAATGTGGAGTTAAAGATTTTTAACTTTATTCTGGAATATTTTTATTTGGACCTAAACATACTATTCAATCTTTGTAAAGTTATCACTGAATCTGTTTTAAATTCAAGGTTTTTACTTTCTTTGTAGGTTATATGCCCATTATATTTATACAATCAATCATCTTTTTTCATTGCAATAAAATCAATGAATATTATATGTCCATTCTTTCTTTCCTGACTATTTTTATACCTGTCAATTCTTGTGCATGAACTAATTTATTTATATTTCAACATAAATTAGATGTTTTTTAGAGTTTAAGAAAGATACTTAGACATCTGTTATAATCAGTGAAAGAAGGGTTACTGATTTATTACTTATTTATCTCAAAAAAACAAAAACTTGAGAATGCATTACCAAAGATAAAATTTGCCTTTATATATATATATAAAGTTTATATATATTGTCATATATATAAACTTGGTTTACTCACCCCCATGCAAGTCCTGTCCTGCAGTCAGAAATTTTGTCAAAATCAGGCAAAAAGAGCCTAATTTTTTAACTTCTTTTTCTCTCAAAATTATTTCAACCTCTAAAAATATGTAGCATGTAATATCTCACTGATATCTACTTTATTTCACTTAACTCATTCGTCTCTATTCTTATTTGGGGTTTTGAAGGTAGAGACTAAGATAGAACAAATTTATTTGTCAGTAAAGGTATTTGAAGGTTCAGGGCAAACTCTAGATTGGGGAGAGAGAGAGAGACAGAGACTGACAGAGGAGAGAGAAAGAGAGCACAAGTGCCAAGGGAAATGTAGAAAGAAATTTTAAGTGGTTCACTGTAAAGTGTGAAATAAAAATGGTCTCTTTCTTCTCTCCCTAGAATCTTTAGTAAATTCGAGTTTGCTGAGCAGTGCTTGTCTGTGAGTGAATTTATTTGAGAGCACTAAAAGTATTCCAAAAGGAACCAACTAACATTTGAGTGGATTTTAATATGATCAAAAATTCTCTTTTGAATTTATATTATGTGTCAGGAAGCCTCTGGGGATAGAGAGTCCATTAAAATGAGCAGTGTGCTCTTTTGCATAGTGGGATAGGCAGAGTTTAAAGATGACCCCCAATGACCCATTCTTTATATCATTCCGCTCTTCTTTAGTGTCAACAGGATTTCACTCCCTTGATTGGGTTACTAATCAGTTGACTTTGACGTTATCAAAAGAGACATAATTCTGGGTGGATCTTACCCAATCAGAAGAACGTTTAAAAGAGATGAAGCACTTCCTAAAAGAGATTCAAAGCATAAAAAGGTCCATGGAGGAACCACATAGTAAGTGCCTGAGAGTGGCATGTCAGAGCTAAGAGCAGTTCTGGGACAATAGATAGAGAAGAAATGGGGACCTCAGTCATGTCGCTGCAAAAAAAAATGAATTTTCCCAAAGACATGAGGATGTAAATGCACTTGGCTGATATTTTGATTTCAGCTGTGTGAAAACCTTAGCAGAGAACCCAATATACTATAGCCAGACTCTTGATCTATGGAAACTGTGAGATAATAACTTTTTTATTTTATAAGCCTCTAAAATGGTGGTAGTTTGTTCACAGAAATAAAAATCTAACACAAGGAGTCCACTGCCTTCTCTTAGTGTCTTTGTTTATCTGTGTTGTTACTCTTATTATTATTATTATTTTAATTTAAGGTCATCAATGAAGATAATCCAATTGGTTGGCCAGTAATTATCCAGTATTGAGTACCCATTAGTGGATCTCTGCAGCCATGCCATTTCAAAAGCTGGTGATCTATAGTTAGGTAGACCAGAAAATTCATAAAAACGGTTTGCATTTACTCAGTATTACTAAGTGTTAGATACTATTTTAAGCATTTTTTTTTTTTTGAGACGGAGTCTCGCATGGTCACCCAGGCTAGAGTGCAGTGGCAGGACCTCAGCTCACCGCAACCTCTGCCTCCAGAGTTCAAGCAATTCTCCTGCCTCAGCCTCCCAAGTAGCTGGGACTACAGGTGCCCACCACCGTGCCTGGCTAATTTTTTTGTATTTTTAGTAGAGACAGGTTTTCACCACTTTAGCCAGGATGGTCTCGATCTTCTGACCACGTGATCCCCCCCACCTCAGCCTCCCAAAGTGCTGGTATTACAAGCGTGAGCCACTGCGCCCGGCCTATTTTAAGCATTTGTAATGCATTAATTCATCTAATCATCACAACCATTATAATCAACTTCATCTTATGGATGGGATAACTCAAGTATAAGGAAGTTAAATAATTTCCCCTAGATCACACAGCTAGTAAGCAACAAAACTAGGGTTCGAATATCTAGGCAGTCTCATTTTAGAATGTGCGAATTTAACTACATACTGCCTCTTCTGACAGACCGTTGACGACTATTACCTGTGAAGGTCCCAGCCACATTTGCACATGTCATATTGTGAAGTCATAGCTTCCTTAGTTTTCTGATAAGTTGCAGAGGTTGCAATGTGGGAGATTTTCTTGCTACTTAAGAAATACTTTGTAAATCTCACAATGATTAAGAAGTCTGAGAAGCTCTGACAGCTCTCAGCAAAATTTTAGAAATCCAGGTGAAAAATCAGTGTTTTTGAAAATGTATGTTTATATTACAGATGACTATAAAAAATTGCAAATCCTTAAATTATGAATGACCAATATCTAAAATTTCACATCAACAAGAAGAAATATATTAAACATTCAGATGGATTGGCTTTTTACAAGATTTTCAATATTTGGAATTTTTGTCATAAGTAAAATCTAATGTTAATACGTATGTGATTCATGGTAGTTCCTATTTTAGAACTTTCTAACCTGTCATTATGAGATATTTTTATCTGTCTTGCTCCCATGCTTTTCTGTGCATGTCACTGACTAAAATAATTTACATAAGAAAAAATTCAATTTGTAAAGAAAGGACACATTCAGAGAATAATTTTTATTAATATTATCTTCATGATAACATATCAATTTGTTTATAAATAAAGCCGTGTGGCCTCATTACTGACTTAGAGAATACTTGGCAGGTACTCATTTTTGTCTCTCTTGGCTAATGGTTAATGCAGTGCACCTGTTTTAGAACACTGAAATCTCTACTCATAAAATACATTTTTTTTTTTTTTTTTTGAGACAGAGTCTTGCTCTGTCGCCCAGGCTGGAGTGCAGTGGCACGATCTTGGCTCACTGCAAGCTCCGCCTCCCAGGTTCACGCCATTCTCTTGCCTCAGCCTCCCGAGTAGCTGGGACTACATACGCCAGCCACCACGCCCGGCTAATTTTTCTGTATTTTTAATAGAGACGGGGTTTCCCTGTGTTAGCCAGGATGGTCTCGATCTTCTGACCACGTGATCCCCCCCACCTCAGCCTCCCAAAGTGCTGGTATTACAAGCGTGAGCCACTGCGCCCGGCCTATTTTAAGCATTTGTAATGCATTAATTCATCTAATCATCACAACCATTATAATCAACTTCATCTTATGGATGGGATAACTCAAGTATAAGGAAGTTAAATAATTTCCCCTAGATCACACAGCTAGTAAGCAACAAAACTAGGGTTCGAATATCTAGGCAGTCTCATTTTAGAATGTGCGAATTTAACTACATACTGCCTCTTCTGACAGACCGTTGACGACTATTACCTGTGAAGGTCCCAGCCACATTTGCACATGTCATATTGTGAAGTCATAGCTTCCTTAGTTTTCTGATAAGTTGCAGAGGTTGCAATGTGGGAGATTTTCTTGCTACTTAAGAAATACTTTGTAAATCTCACAATGATTAAGAAGTCTGAGAAGCTCTGACAGCTCTCAGCAAAATTTTAGAAATCCAGGTGAAAAATCAGTGTTTTTGAAAATGTATGTTTATATTACAGATGACTATAAAAAATTGCAAATCCTTAAATTATGAATGACCAATATCTAAAATTTCACATCAACAAGAAGAAATATATTAAACATTCAGATGGATTGGCTTTTTACAAGATTTTCAATATTTGGAATTTTTGTCATAAGTAAAATCTAATGTTAATACGTATGTGATTCATGGTAGTTCCTATTTTAGAACTTTCTAACCTGTCATTATGAGATATTTTTATCTGTCTTGCTCCCATGCTTTTCTGTGCATGTCACTGACTAAAATAATTTACATAAGAAAAAATTCAATTTGTAAAGAAAGGACACATTCAGAGAATAATTTTTATTAATATTATCTTCATGATAACATATCAATTTGTTTATAAATAAAGCCGTGTGGCCTCATTACTGACTTAGAGAATACTTGGCAGGTACTCATTTTTGTCTCTCTTGGCTAATGGTTAATGCAGTGCACCTGTTTTAGAACACTGAAATCTCTACTCATAAAATACATTTTTTTTTTTTTTTTGAGACGGAGTCTTGCTCTGTCGCCCAGGCTGGAGTGCAGTGGCACGATCTTGGCTCACTGCAAGCTCCGCCTCCCAGGTTCACGCCATTCTCTTGCCTCAGCCTCCCGAGTAGCTGGGACTACATACGCCAGCCACCACGCCCGGCTAATTTTTCTGTATTTTTAATAGAGACGGGGTTTCCCTGTGTTAGCCAGGATGGTCTCGATCTCCTGACCTCTTGATCCACCCGCCTCAGCCTCCCAAAGTGCTGGGATTACAGACATGAGGCACCGTGCCTGGCCAGCCATAAAATACTTTTTATATATTTTGGTATAATTACTATTATAACTATACATGTGTTTTCATATCCATTTAATATCCATAATCTGTCACCACATTTTACTTTTAAAATTTTATTTACACATTAATGTTCCATTTACATTTTGTAAAATAAGATGCAAATTAACTAAAGTATTATACCAAAATGAATTGCAGCTCTAGCATGTGTTAGATATTGTGCTAAGGAGGGGATATATGGTAATAAAAATGCTTAATCCATAACACCATGCATATTTTAACTTAAAAACCCTAATATCTCTATATATTTTTGTTTCTGCATATATTACACACACAACTGTGTGCGTATATATATATATTTATGTGCATATATATGTATGCAATTTTACATTTTGGTAAATGACAAAAGAAAAACAACAAAGTTAATGAAAGATAGTAAGAGGAAAACCTCTTTAAACTAAAGGGTAGAAGGTTAGGGGAGATCTTTAAGCAGAGGTAAAAATTTAACATGAAACCAGATATTTGGAAAAAAAAAGGAAATGTGTTTGAGAAAGAAGATATGGAATGTGCCAAGATTCTGAGGTGGGAAACTCCTGGAGCCTAGTAAAGTGGACGGTGTGATTGGAAGGGAGTAATGAACAAGGCAGAGAATACCAGGAAATAGACATGGAGAGGTAGGAAATCCCATTCATGGAGAATGCACTGTACCTGTTGTAGTACAGGTTTTAGAGGCTTTATTTTCATTATTGTAGAAAAGCAAACACTAAAATGACTCAAGTTTCTCTTCTATCTAATAATTACCTTCATCTGAGTTTACTTCTAAAATTGTGTTATAGTGTTCTGCACAGACCTTACATCTTTCATAAAAATTATCTCAAAATGGATTATAAGTATAAATGTAAAATGCAGAACTTTAAAAATTCTGCAAGAAAACATATGAGAAAATATACATGACCTTAAATTTGTTGATGAGTTTTAGATACAATACCAAAAACCTTATTCATGAAAGAAAAATCTTGACAAGTTGGACTTCATTGAAATTAAAAATATCTACTCTGCAAAATAAAGTTAAATAATAAAAATATTAGCCATGGACTGGGATAAAATATTCATAAAATACATACTTGAAAAGCACTTATATCCAAACTACATAAAAGAACTCTTAAAACTCAAGAAAACAACCCAGTTGAAAAATGGACAAAAGATCTAAAGGTTGGGGGTCAAAGCAAGACGGTGGAATAGAAGCCTACGTTGTTTGTCCCTGCCACTGGAACACCAAATTTTATAAATTCTCTGCACACAGAGAAGCTCTACCACAAGAATAAAAAATCAGATAACCAATCACAGTACCTGATTTTAACTTCATATGGCTAAAAGAGGCAGTGAAGAGGGTCAGAGACAGTCTTGAATTCCCAGTGCCTCTCCCCTCTCCCAGTGGTAGCCATGTAGCATGGAGAGAGAATCTGTGTACTTTGGAGAGGGAGACTGTGGTGACCAGAGGACTTTACATTGAACTCAGTGCTGCCCTGTCACAGTGGAAAATAAAGCCAAGCTGGGCTTAGCCAGTGCCCGCACCTGGAGGGAGCATTTCAACCAGCCCTAACCAGAGGGGAATTTCCCACTCCAGCATTCAGAACTTGAGTTTGTTGGCAAGCCTCACCACTTTGGGCTGAAGTGCTCTGTGTTCCTAGATTAACTTGAAAGGCAGTCTAGCACGCAAGAACTGCAATTTCTAGGCAACTTGTAGTGCTAGTCTGGGATTAGAGCCAGTGGACTGGGGTAGCACTGACCTAGGGAGACACCAGCTGCTGGCACAGCTAAGGGAGTGCTTGTGCCATCCATCCATCAACTCCAGGCAGTCCAGCTCACAGCAATGAAAGTGACTCATTCCTTCTGATTAAGGAGAGGAGGTCAAAGAGTAAAGAGGACTTTGTCTTATGTGTTAGATACCAGCTCAGCGGTAGTAGGACGGGGCACTGGGTAGAATAGGGAGGCCCCCATTCCAAACCCTAGCTCCCAGATGACATTTCTAGACATTCCCTGGGTCAAAAGCAACCTCTGCTTTGAAGGGAAGAACCCATTCTCTCCAGGATTCATCATATACTGACTAAAGAGCCCTTGGTCCCTGAATAACCAGCAGTAATACCCACGGAGTATGTGGTGGGCCTTTGCCTCTGAGACATGCTGGCTTCAAGGGTGACCTAGCACGTTCCCACCTGTGGGCACTATGGTGAAAGACTCCTTCTGTTTAAGAAAAGCAGAGGGAAAAGTAAAGAGGACTTTGTCTTGAACCTTATGTACCAGCTTGGCTATAGTAGGGTAGAGCAATAAGCAAGCTCTTGGGGTCCCTAAGTCCAGGCCTAGGCTCTTAGAAAGCATTTCCTGACCTTCCCTGGGCTACAGGAGAGTCCACTGCCCTGAAGGGTGAGTCCCAGACATGGCTGCATTCACCGCAAACTGATAGAAGAGTCCTTGAGTTTTAAATGAACATTTGTGGTGGCCTGGCAGAACCCCCATGGAGTGGTTTTGGTGATGGCCCCAAAGAGAGGCTCCTATGCCTGTGGAAAGGGGAAGGAAAAGTGGGAAGGACTTCGTATTGTAGTGTAAGTGCCAGCTTAGCCACTGTAGTCTAGAACATCAGGTATACTGTTAAGGTTACAGACTCTAAGCCCTGGTTCACAGACAGCATCTCTGGACATGCTCCAAGCCTGGGGGAACTTACTACCTTGAAGGGAAGGGCCTTGGGCAGCACCCAGTGCTGTGTTGGCTTCAGGTCTGACCCAGCACAGTCCCAGTAGTGGTGGTCACAGGGGTGCTTGCATCACCACATCCCCAGGTCCAGGTGTCTAAGTGCAGAGAGAGAAAGTCTCTGCTTATTTGGGAGAAAGTCAGAGAAAAGAACAAAAGTCTCTGCCTGGTAATCCAGAGAATTATTCTGGATCTTATCCATGTCCACCAAGGTGGTACCTCTACAAGTCTGCAAAATTCACAGCATTATAGGGCTTGGTACCCAAGTCCCTTCAACTCCTGGAAAGCCTTCCCAAGGAGGGCAAGCCCAGAATGTGAAGATGATAATAAATATCTAACTCTTCAATGCCCAGATACCAATGAACATCTACAAGTATCAGCATCATCCAGGAAAATATGGCCTCACAAAAAGAATTAAATAAGGCACCAAGGACCAATGCTGGAGAAACAGAGATAAATGACCTTTAAGACAGATAATTCAAAATGGCTGTTTTGAGGAAACTCAAGGAAATTCAAGATAACACAGAGAAAATTTCAGTATCCTATCAGATAAATTTAACAAGGAGATTGAAATAATTTAAAAGAATCAAGCATAAATTTTGGAGTTGAAAAATGCAATTGGCATACTGAAGAATGCATTAGAGTCTCTTAATAGCAGAAATGATCAAGCAGAAGAAAGAATTCGTGAGCTTTGACCACAGGCCATTTGGAAATACATGGTCAGAGGAGGCAAAAGAAAAAAGAATAGAAAACAATAAAGCACACCTGCAAGATCTGGAAAATAGCCTCAAACAGGCAAATGTAAGAGTAATTGGTTTTAAAGAGGAGGTAGAGAAAGATATAGTGGTATAAAGCTTGTTCAAAGGGATAATAACAGAGAACTTTTGAAACCTAGAAAAAGATATCAACATTCAAGTGTAAGAAGATTATAAAACACAAAGCAGGTTTAACTCGAAGAAGACTACCTCTAGGCATTGAATAATCAAACTCCCAAAGGTCAAGGATAAAGAAATGATACTAAAAACAGCAAGAGAAAATAAACAAATAACGTACAATGAAACTCCAAAACATCTAATAGCAGACTTTTAGTGGAAACCTTACAGGCCAGGAGAGAGTGATATGACATGTTAAAATTGCTGAAGGAAAAAACTGTTACCCTAGAATGATACAACCAATGGAAATATACTCAAGAAGAAAGAGAAATAAAGGTCTTCCCAAGACAAACAAAAACTTAGGGATTTCATCAACAGGAGACCTGTCCTACAATAAATGCTAAAGGGAGTATTTCAATCTGAAAGAAAACTATATATACACGTGTATATATATATATTTTGTTTGTTTGTTTGAGATGGAGTTTCGCTCTTGTTGCCCAGGCTGGAGTGCAATGGCATGATCTCAGCTCACTGTAACCTCTGCCTCCCAGGTTCAAACGATTCTCCTGCCTCAGCCTCCTGAGTAGCTGGGATTACAGGCATGTGCCACGACGTCCGGTTAGTTTTGTATTTTTAGTAGAGATGGGGTTTCTTCATGTTGGTCAGGCTGGTCTGGAACTCCCAACCTCAGGTGATCCACCCACCTCGGCCTCCCAAAGTGTTGGGATTACAGGTGTGAGCCACCATGCCTGGCCAGAAAATGATATTAATGAGCAAGAAGAAATCATCTGAAGGTACAAAACTAATTGGTAGTAGTAAGCACATAGAAAAGCACTGGACCAGTGGTGTGTAGGCTATTCTTACCTGAAGTAGAAAAACTAACTGAATAATAAATCAAAAATAACCACAACAACATTTCAAGACATAAACAGTACAATTAAAATATAAAGAGAGAAAACAGAAAGTTAAAAAGCAGGGTGACAAAGTTAAAGTGTAGATTTTCAATTAGTTTTCTTTTTGCATGTCTGTTTGTATACAGAATCAGTGTTGTCATCAGTTTAAAATAATGGGTTATAAGGAGGTATTTGCAAGCCTCATTTTAGCCTCAAATTGAGAAACGTACAACAGATACACAAAAAATTAAAAAGCGAGAAATTAAAGCATATCACCTGAGAAAATAATCTTCACTGAAGGGAAGACAGGACGGAAGGAAGGAAAGACAGGCAAGAAGACTGGAGATTCCTCAAAAAAACTAAAAAGTGAGCTACCATATGATCCAGCAATCCCAATGCTGGGTATATACCCAAAAGAAAGGAAATCAGTATATCAAACAGATATCTGCACTCCTATGTTTGTTGCAGCACTGTTTACAATAGCTAAGATCTGGAAGCAACCTAAGTGTCCATCAACAACAAATGAATGGATAAAGAAAATGTGGTACATATACAAAATGGAGTAGCATTCCATGATGCGGTTATTACATATTGCATGTCTATATTAAAATATCTCATGTACCCCATTAGTATATACAACTACTGTGTACTCAGAAAATTTAAAAAAAGGCATCTCATACACACATACACACATACACACACACACACACACACACACACACACGGATAGCAAGTAAGCATATGAAGAGACTCAACAATATTTGCATTAGGGCCATACAAATTCAACAATAATTACATATCTCTCAGCACCTATTAGAATGGCTAAAGTCCAAAACCTGATAGTACAATAGCTGACAAGAATATAGAGTTTAAAAATACTGGAATTGGCCCGGTGCAGTGGCTCACACCTGTAATCCCAGCACTTTGGGAGGCCGAGGCGGGTGGATCACGAGGTCAGGAGATCAAGACTATCCTGGCTAACACGGTGAAACCCTGTCTCTATTAAAAATACAAAAATATTAGCCGGGTGTGGTGGTGGGCGCCTGTAGTCCCAGCTACTCAGGAGGCTGAGGCAGGAGAATGGCATGAACCCGGGAGGCGGAGCTTGCAGTGAGCCGAGATTGTGCCACTGCACTCCAGCCTGGGCGACAGAGCAAGACTCCGTCTCAAAAAAAAAAAAAAAGCCTGGAATTAAAGAATTAAGTAGATGGTTGGTTAATGATGGAAGCCAGGATTGAAATGATAGGCCAGGGATGATCCTGGAACAATCCAGGTATTTACAGATTAGAGTTAGGACAGCACTATGAATTTATGTTTAGCTAAGTGGGTTATTAGACACACATATATTTCCTCGGTCTCTCAACTGAGAGGACCTAGAGGCAATGACACACTAACAAGCACACTAGAGCTCAGGTCTTGGTTTTTAATATTATTCTCCAATGAAAGGAACCAGGGCCGGGCATGGTGGCTCATGCCTGTAATCCCGGCACTTTGGGAGGTTGAGGCCAGTGATCACTTGAGGCCAGGAGTTCGAGATCAGCATGGCCAACATGGCGAAACCCTGTCTCTACTGAAAATATAAAAAATTAGCCGGGTGTGGTGGTGCGTGTCTGCAGTCCCAGCTACTTGGGAGCTGAGACAGGAGAATCACTCAAACCTGGCAGTTGGAGGTTGCAGTGAGTTGAGATCACACAACTGTGCTCCAGCCTAGGCGACAGAGTGAGACTCTGTCTCAAAAAAAACAACAACAGAAAACAAAACAATAACAACAAAAAACACGAACCGGGACTCCTTGGATAAATGTCTGATTCTAAGACTTAGGCAGGAAGTATACAAGATAATCTTGGAGCATTATGTGTTATAGTGCCAGAAACTAAGGGCGTGTTCTGAGAGACAACAGCAAGAAAAAAGAAAAGAAAACAAAACAACACACATATTGTAGTAAGTCAAAAAGGCAACTGAAAGAGCTCCAGTGTTCAATGCTAGAACAATTTAAACAACAAGATAAACAAAATAGTATTGGATTATAATCCAAAGTATAAGATAAATACCCACATATGCACTCATATATAAAGGAATAAACAAATAAATGAGGCAAATCTCAGCATAAAATTGCAACTAATTTATTTAGGTATTTATCCCTCAAGGAGATACAACATAATCCCTACACCTTAGGTTTAAGTATAAGCTGCACACAGGGATTTTCTCCTAGAGTGTGGCAAGAGGAGAAAAACTAACTTTATAGCAGAGAAACTGGAAAAACACTACCTCAGTCAGGTGAGCAATGTCAACATAAACAACGTTGAGTCATGTTGATAGTGTGAATCCTTGGATAAGATTGGCACTTCACCTCGATGGTTTTTCTCAGAAAAACTCATAACTTCAGAATCTAATCTTATAAAAACATCATATAAATCCCAAGTAAGCTACAATCTGCAAAATACCTCAACAGTACCCCTCAAAACTATCAAAGTCATTCAAAAACAAGGATTGTCTGAGAAACTGTCACAGCTTAAGAGGACCTTAGGAGACATGATGGTCAAATGTAATGTGGTATCCTGGATGGGTTTCTGAAACAGAAAAAGGATATTAGGTAAAAACTAAGAAAAATATGAAAAAAGATATCGACTTTAGTTAATAATGTATCAATATTAATTATTATTACAAATGCACTATACAAATATAAGATATTATTGTGGATACTGGAACTGGTATGCATGGGGATTCTATACTACCTTTACAATTTTTTGGTAACTCTATTCTAAAATAAAAATTATTAGAAAAAATTAAGTGCTTAATGAAAATGAAAAGGTTCCCTGACATTCTCTGTAGAGGTGGGTACACACTTTGCCATAGAGCTCTTTATGATATCAATTTTCTCTTTTGCTCTTGCTTCTGTCTACTCTATAGAATTTTAAAAGCTGGGTTGAATTTAATCACTGTATAAATCACATAAATCAAGTAGAAATTATTGCTAAAATTTTTCTGTGAATCAGAAACTATTCTAAAATAAAACATCTGAAAATTCGGGGTGTAGTTTTATATTTTTTCTAAAATTTGAAGGCTTGATTTGGTTCACATTTTAAGCCATTTCTATGTTTTTAGTTGTCACATGTTTTGAAAGACTGTGACAGTACTATTATTTTAACCAAGGGGGAGGAAAAAGTCCTTTTTCTTTTCCCAATAGTTTAAGTTTACTTACTAAGAAGGGCTACGAGAGATGTGACTACAAAAGAAAATACGTTTTCAGTTTAATCTTAGAAAGTTTCAAGAACAAAAGTTGGAGGAACCCTAGAGCTCTAGGATTCACTTTCGATGACCATTCCTAGAAGGTTCACTTTTTTGGATCACCTGACTTTCAATATTGCCTCACTTTCTGTCTCTAAAGGGATAACAGCTTTATTCTACCTCACACTTATCACTGTTAGCAGACCAATCAGCTTATTGTAGGTTTTCTGTTCTAGGCCTTTACTTAAGTTACTCCTTAAGTCTAGAAATCTCTTCTTTTCTTTAAAAATCAGTTTTCATCTTTTCCAGAAAGTCTTTTCTGAGTCCTAAAGTTTGTTTATAATACTTTCTGCTGTCTTGGTAGTTTCCATATAACCAACATTCATTAAGTAAGAAAATATCTATTAAGTTTCTCCTGGGTATCAGATACTCAATATGCTGGGCACCTATTCATGGTTTCTCAGCTGGAACTGTCAGCTCCTTGAGGGCAGAGATCATTTCCTATTAATCTTAACTCCAAGAACTTGGCAAATTCTTGACACATAGTAAGTGTTCTGGGGGGAAAGAAAAGATTGTAGTCCTGAATAATAAAAAAAAAAAACAGCTTTCTCAGAATGCAAGATGTTCAAAACTAAAATGTCGTTCAGGGATTTATTCATTTCCATGATTTCATGACATGTAATTTTCTTTAGGACTATGATTTCCCTTAAACTCTTTCTGCTTAGAAATGTCCTTCACCGGCTCCTGAAGGACCTTTAGATGAATTTGACTTATGTGATAGAATAAGTGGTTGCCCACACCTTTCACACATCTGTGAACTGATCAAGAATTCAGATTATTTCTATCATCTGTCCAGATGGCTTGAAAAAAAAATGCAAATTTCTTTCTTATTGTTTTAAATGGATTGGATTTCTGTTTCTTAAAGGCAGTTTACAACAGATACTACTCTGTGTTTTATTATATGGAGCACTTATTTATGCAAGTATGTGTGTGTATATGTATGTTTATTGCTTTACTTAGCAGAGCTAAAAAAGAACATTAAATAAAATTAAAATGTAGTTAAGATATGATTTTCCTAACATTTCCTGTTTAATTTTACAGATATTATAATTGTGAGAGGTAGAGAAATGACTAGGCAAATAGGTATATTTCATTCATTTGGATTCCCCTAAATTTAGAATTGTGTTTTAGGCATGCATGCAAATTAAAAAATATATATATATTTGTATTGTATAGTGTGGCTTTGTAAAGTTTCTTTCAATAGATGGCAAACTAGGCATTACTTGCATCCTAGATATTTAAATGATGCCTTTTTTTTGGTAGTTCTGTTCTCAGAGTATCTTCCAAAGTGATAAAATTGAACTTGAAGAATTTTTTTAAAAAACACAATGCAAACCTATGTTGGTGAGTGGTATTGGAAATTATTAATATTGCTTTTCTTCCAAAATCTCTAGCAATTCTAAAGTATTGTGTTTTTAAAAAAACAGAAGGAAATATCAAGTAAACCACCAGCAGGATACTCCAAAATTCCATTTATAACTCAGAAAATCTAAATAAAAATATATAATATCTCATTAAAAATTACGACAATAGTGACATAGAGAATGAACTGTGTTGTGCATAATGCTGAGCATTTTACACATAGATTTGCTCCTTTTACTTTCCCAACAAACCTCTGAAGTAGGTATACCCATTGTCCTCACTATAGAGAGGAAGAACACTGAAACAATGAGAATCTGTCAAAGGTCACTGTCGTTGCTCAGGCTGTTATAACAAATACCATAGACTAGGTAGCTTAAAACCCAGAAATTTATTTTGTACAGTTTTGGAGGCTAGAAGTCCAAGATCAGGGTGCCAGCATGGTTGGGTTCTAGTGAGGGCCTTGCTCCTGGCTTGTTGATTGCCACTTTCTTGCTGTATCTTCACATGGTGGAGAGAAAGATCATTTCCCTTATTATGCAGGCACTAATTCTATTCATGAAGGCTCTACCCTCATGACCTAATTACCTCCCAAAGTCTCCACCTCCAAATACCAAAACACTAGGGATAAAGGACTTAATATTTAAATTTGTGGGGAGGGGACACAAGTATTCAGTCTATAGTAGTCACATAGCAGATAATGAGGGCAGAATTCAATCCTGGAAGTGCTATACTTCCTCAAGAGATAAAGTTAATCATGTAGTTATCTGGCATATATATATATGTAAAATAATCTGCATGTCCTATGCCTACACACATTTGTGGGTTCTCACATAACAGTTTAGTAATATTTGAAATTAGTGGTTATGTCCAATTATCTAATTTAAGCAAGCATATTTACGACATAAAAGTTTCTCAATTACATTTGTTCATTTAAATCAATTAAAATTATGGAATATTACATACGTATATAGAATAGGGCCATATGCACATATATGCCACATAATAATATGTTAAACATAATGGTCCTATTTTCAGTTGTAATTAATGAGAGTTTTTAATATAGTTGGCGTTGTCACTCAGCAGTTGCCATCGAATCTGTGTGAGTAACAGAAGAGGTATGGTTAGGGTAGAGAGAATATTTGAGGAAAGAATGGGTGAAAATTTCTCAAATTTGATGAAGGACATGAATATAACCATCCAAGAAGCTCAATAAACTACAAGTAAGAAGAACTCAAAGACACATACACATTATAATCAAACTTTTCGAAGACAGACAAAATCTTGAAAGCATCAAGAGAAAAGCAATTTATTACATATGTGGGATCTTCAATAAAATTATCAACAGATTTCTCATCAGAATCTTTGGGAGACAGAGGACAGTGGGCCAATATATTCAAAGTGCTGAAAGGAAAAAAAAATTGTTGTCAACAAATAATTCTATATCTGGCAAAACTATCCTTCAAAAGTGAGGGAGGAAATTTAGACATTCCCAGATAAAAACTGAGGGAGTTTCTTATCACTATACCTACTTACTCTGTGAGAAATACTCAGTGAAGTCCTGCATAGTAAAATAGAAGGACACAAAATAATAACTTAAAAATAAGATGTGTGAAAAAATAAAGATTTAAATAAAGATAAGTACATGGACAATCATAAAAAGTGGTATTATTGTAACAATGGTTTGTAACTCCACTTTTGTTTGCTACATGATTTCAGAGACTACATAGATTCAGAAATACCAATGTGAAAACTAACATTATTGTAACTTTGGTTTGCAGCTCCACGTTTTATTTCTACATAAGTTTAATGACTAATGCATTTAGAAGAATTATTTTTTAATATGTTGGTCATGTAATGCATAAAGACACAATTCTGTGACCTTGCCAACCAAAATGGATGTGAATGTAGCTGAAAAGAAGCAGGGTTTGTGTATGTTATTGAAGTTTAGCTAGAATAAATTCAAATTAGAATGATATAACTTTAGGACATTAAATGTATACAAAAAAGGAAATGAGAAATTTCTTTCTCATTTTAAAAAAAATGTTTCACTACCAAAACCCAACTGAACACAAAGGAAGATAGTAATGCAGGAAATGAGGGACAAGTAAGCATAAGGCATATCAAAAGATACAAATAGTAAAATGACATAAAGAAATACCTCCTTATTAGTAACTATGTTAAGTGTAAATGAATTAAACACCTGAATCAAAGGAGAGATTGGCAGAATGGACTAAAAAAAAAAAGAGGGTGATCGAGCTACAGTTGACCCTTGAACAGCATGGGCTTGAACTGCATGGGTTCACTTACATGCAGATTTTCTTCTACCTCTGCCACTTCTGAGACAGCAAGACCAACTGTTCCTCTTTCTCCTCCTGCTCAGCCTACTCAAAAGTGAAGACAATGAGGATAAAGACCTATATGATGATCTACTGCCACTCAAAGAGTGGTAAATGTTTTCTCTTCTTTATGATTTTCTGAATAACGTTTTCTTTTCTCTGGCTTACTTTAAGAATACATTATATAATTTATATAATATACAAAATATGTGTTAATCAATTGTCTGTGCTATTGGTAAACTTTCGTCAAAAGTAAGCTATTAGTTAAGTGTGTGGGGAGTCAAGATTCATATGCAGATTTTCAACTGTGTGGGGTTCAGCACCCCTATACCCTGCACTGTTCGTGGGTAAAATGTATATGCTATCTATAAAGGAATCACTTTAGAACCAAAGACACAAATAGATACTTATGAAAGTCAAAGGATTAAAAATATATTCTAAGGATTTAGTACCCAAAAGGGAGCAGGGGTGGCTGCTATACTAATATTAGACAAAATAGACTTAACAATAAGATATAAAAATTTAAACAAGATATAACAATTATAAGCATTTATGCACATAGTAACTGTATTAGTTCATTGTTTCATTGCTATAAAGAAATACACCTCATGGTTCTTCAGGCCTATAGGAAGCATAGCAGCTTCTGCTTCTGGGGAGGCCTCAGGAAACCTCCAGTCATGGCAGAAGGCAAAGTGGGAGTGAGACGTCACACATGGTGCAAGAAGGAGCAAGAGAGGAGTGGGGGGAGGTGCTACACACTTTAAAATAACCAGATCTCATGAGAACTCACTATCACGAGGACAGTATTAAGGGGGACGGTGCTAAACCATTTGTGAGAAACTGCCCCCATGATCCAATCACCTCCCACCAGGCCCCACCTCCAACATTGGGGATTGCAATTCAACATGAGATTTGGTCAGGGACACAGATTGAAACTATATCAGTAACAGACTATCAAAATATATGAAACAAAAACACAGAATTTAAGGGAGAAATAAATACTTCAGTACTCTTCTCTCAATCAAGGATAGAACAACCAAACAGAAGATAAGCAGGGAAATGTTAGAATCAACACAATAAACCAAATAGATCTAACAGACGTATACACAGAAGACTTTACTCGACAACAGCAAACACATTCTTCTCAATTGCACATGGGATATTTTCCAAGATAGACTACAAATCTATCCTTAGAATACAAATTAAGTCAAATTTTGGTGTATATATGTATACGATGGAATATTATTCAGATATATAGAGAAATTCTGATGTGCTTCAGCATGGATCAATCTAGACAACATCATGCTATGTGAAATAAGCCAATCATAAAATGACAAGTACTATCTGATTCTACTTATATTAGATACTTGGAGTAAAATTATAAAGGCTGGAAACAGAATGGTGGTTGTAAGAGACTGAATGAAAAGGGAAAAGAGGGAGTTGTTCTTCAATGGCTACAAATCTTCAGTTTTACAAGATTCATTATGGAGTTGGATGGGGGCAATAGTTGTACAACATTATGAATGTATTTAATAGCACTGAACTGCATACTCAAAAGTGGTAAAGATGCTAAATTTTATGTCATGTGTACCTTAACAGTATTTTTTTTAATTTTGGGGGAAAACATAGTTAACTTTTTGAGCTTTCTGCATTTTAAAATGTTATAGGTAATAATTCCAAGAATAATTTAAAAATCATTTCTATTTTCTAATAATTTCAATATTTGACTGGAAGTAGCATATTATAGCATCGCTAGAACACAGATACATTACTAAGTAATGTAAAAACAATATTTTCCTTCTTTCCCTCAGTCTCTGGCAACCATCATTCTATTATCTCTATGATTTTTACTACTGTGATTACTTCATATAAGTAGAATTTTACAGTATTTGTCATTTAGTGACCAGCCTATTCATATCTGCCTTGTTTTAAAGCAAACACTGTCAAGCAGAAAGATAAAATAGTCTGTAATATTAATGTTGATGTTAATAAGCATTGTGGAATATTAATGGTCATATTGATAAGTTCTCTGTAAGCATTCTGGCACATAGAGGTCAAGGGCATAGTTTCTGGGACAGAATACCTAGGCTTGATGACAGCCTTTACCATTTATTTTTCTGAGTCAATTTCTTCACCTGAAAAAAGAATATAATAAAAATATATAACTCACAGACCTCTTATAACCATAGAGTGTATTAAAAGTGCTTACAATAATGTCTCACATGTTAGATCTATATGTGTCTAATAACCTTATTACTATTATTATTGAGGGAATGTCACAGTTGATAGTGAGTTTTCAAAAGTGCAGTGTCTAACCATTAGCATTACAGAATGATAAACTACTTTTAGCATTTTAAGAGCAAATCCATCACCCTTGTGGGCAGACTCACAAAAACTGAGTTCATGAGACTGAGGTATAAATTCAGGATTCTGATTTATTCAAGTTATTAGAACAATACTACACCAGAGTGTTGCAGGAAGTCAGGGACACCGAAAGGAGGGACCTGCTGAAGCTGTGACAGAAGAACATAAATTGTGAAGATTTCATGGACATTTGTTAGTTCTCCAAATTAATACTTTTATAATTTCTTATGCCTGTCTTTACTGCAATCTCTGAACATAAATTGTGAAGATTTCATGGACATTTATCACTTCCCCAATCAATACTCTTATATTTCCTATGCCTGTCTTTACTTTAATCTCTTAATCCCATTATCTTCATAAACTGAGGATGTATGTCACCTCAGGACCCTGTGATGATTGTGTTAACTGCACAAATTGTTCGTAAAGCATGTGTGTTTGAACAATATGAGATCTGGGCACCTTGAAAAAGGAACAGGATAACAGAGATGTTCAGGGAACAAGGGAGATAACCATTAAGTCTGACTTCCTGGGAGCAGTAACAAGAGTCATATTTCTCTTATTACCAAAAATGAGTAAGAGAAATATCGCTCAATTCTTTCCCCAGTAAGGAATATTAATAATTAACAGCCTTGGGAAAAGAATGCATTCCTGGTTGGGTGGGGGGGCCCTCTAAAATGGCCGCTCTTGGAGTGTCTGCCTTATGCAGTTGCAGATAGGGATGAAAGAAGCCCTGGTCTCCTGCAGGGCCCCCAGCCTTGCTAGGATTAGGAAATTCCAGCCTGGCGAATTCTAGTCAGACCGGTTCTCTGCTCTCGAACCCTGTTAAGATGTTTATCAATGACAATGCATACACAGTGGGACATGAAGCTTCATCAGCAATTCTAGTTTTGCCCTGGCCTAGTGACCTTGTCCTACCCATTTGCCTTGTGATATTTTATTGCCCTTGAAGCATGTGATCTCTGTGACCCACACCCTATTCATACACTCCCTCCCCTTTGAAAATCGCTAATAAAAACTTGCTGGTTTTGTGGCTCAGGGGGCATCACAGAACCTGCTGACATGTGATGTCTCCCAAGGCTTTAAAATTTCTCCCTTTTTTAGTCTTTCCCTTTATTTCTCAGACCGGCCGACACTTAGGGAAATAGAAAAGAACCTGTGCTGAAATATTAGGGGCTGGTTCCCCTGATACCAGAGAAGCAGTTAAATTATTCAACTTTATTGCCATGTAGGTGGCACAAAAAAAGCCACATTATAATAAAATTGGCATAGCAAGCATGTTAATTAGTGAAATAATCAGTTGTTTCATTTTGATGTTAAGTAACATTATAATGAAAATAAACCTACAAGGCAATATTCTTGAAACAGAACCTCTTCTTCTTGGGAAGAAATCATATCTTTCCTCATGTCATGCTTCTTGGGTTAAACAAGCTCCCTTCTGGCTGACATATTCTTTCTTTAGTTATGCTAATAGTATCGTCATTCATAACATACTCCTAAAAGCCTAGAAATTATTCTGTCACTTTATGAAGACTTGTCATTATTTTTTTATACATTTTAAGAGATAAATCTTGTTTCACTCTTTCTAAATTCATGTGTGGGTAGAAAGCATCACTGTCACCCCCAAATACTAACAGAATTTACCTTAGATGAAATGAGGAGTGGCATTGTTAGTAAAAACATAGAATAAGAAAATGTATTAGCATATGTTTAGATATGTTACGTTAGAAAACAAACGATTTCTCATTGGCTTTTATTTTATTCTAATAAGTTATATCACGTCCCAAAGTAGTCCACTAACAAAGTAAAGTTCACAAGATACAATGAAATATTTGTTTTATTTTTCAAAAAGAAAGTTCAGACAGTAATTAATCCTAATTTTTTTTAATATCAAGCTAAACTCAACATGAAAAAATACATTTTAATATTCATGGTTTGACTTGCGTACTCTGTTTAAATTATGTGTATTCAGTAAAGTTGGAATACATACCTACACACACACACACACACACACACACACACCCATTTCTGTATATCTAGAAACATATCCTAATGTAAAATGGGCAACTAACTGTTTATTCCAAAGCGTTTAAATGGCTTCTTAAAATTAAACAAAGGAACAAAAATTTTGTTAAAAATTATCTTAATTAAGAATGAAAAATACTAAGGGCACATAATGAAAATAAACTTGTTTATTGTTGTAACCACTCAATGAACTTAAATTTAGTTATTTGTGAAGAAAACATTCAGCATGTTCTGAATTAGAATGGTTCACCTTAGTATTAAATGCCCTCTGTGGAAAAGGATATGCAGATGTTTCTTCCACATGAGCTACAAATGTGCCAAGAGACCACAAGTTAAATATTTAATGTTAACATTAAGATGGAAATATGTCTTCCTTATTGAGCTATAACTTTACTCATAAATATTTGTGGGAAGAAAAGATTTATTTTAATACTTAAGCATTTAACTGGAGGCTGTTAACGATTAACGACTTCACTTTAGTAAGACATCATTCTCCACAAGTAAGAGAAAGAGCAAAGAAATAGATGAAATTTTCAGTGGGAAGTGAGACTTCATACCCAATATTTTAAATATATACATGTCAATAATCTAGTTATTTTATGCTGAACAAATGCTGTGGTTGTTTAATTAGTTTTACAAATTTAGATTTCACTAATTCAGAATTTGTGATCATTTCGAGTCAGCTGAGTAGAAATGTATTTTTTTCACAATGTGAGAATCAAAGGTAGACTACACACAAAATTTTAATGCACTAAAAATTACTTAAGGCAACCCTTTTAAAAACTGGATGGCTAATATTTTGTGTGCAATAAGATACAATAGGATCCAATTTTTCAAATTATCAGCAATATTTTCAGAAATTTCCTTGGTACAGAACACCCTCTTCCTGGGAAGAGCTCATATCTTTCCCAAAGCTATGCTTCCTGCATTAAGCAAACTCTTTTCTGCTTGACACATAAAAATACATTATCAGATAAGTTGAGTTAGTGTCAATATTTCATAACCTGCATTAGTAAAGCACTTTAAACATCAGTTGACTGATTGTCACTGCAATTCTGTGACACAAACTAAGTTTTATTATCTTTGTGTTTAAGGCTAAGTTATGAAGCTTAAAGATATTGTGATTATTTGAGTTTGTACAAATAATTAGTTGTGAATATAACTGAGTGATTTCAGATTTATTCATTTCCTGCTTATTAGATGTCAAGTCCTATGCTAATATGCAAAAATAAATCCATTATGCTTATTTTTATAGACTTACTAAATACCAGACAATAATCTAAATGCTTTATAAATATTATTCATTTAATCAATTTGCAGGTGAAAAATGAAGCAGAGAGAATTTAAGTAACTTGTCCATGGTCATCAATGTACTGAAGGTGGGGCCAGAAAAATAGTACTTAATTACAGTACTATGTTTCTTCCTTTTCATACATCTATGAAGTAGGAACCTGAGAGCGATTGCTCAAAAATGACTTTAAATTCTGATAATAGTATAAAAATGAAATCTAAATTCAGCTTGCCACAAAAACAATTGTACACTGTAGGAAAGAGATTTGGAAAAATAAAGAAAAAACTTTTAAATAAATACAAACATAAGGATAATTGAAAAATAAAATGACATTGAAAAAGAGTCTAGATAGAAGCAAGATTTGAAAGCATCTTAATGGAAGTGAAATGCTCCATATGAAAGTTGCCTTAAAGATGCATATTCAGGGGATTTAGCAGATTTGTCGCTTCATTCCATTCTTTATAAACCAAAACATTAGTTTCATGAATTATTTTAACAAAATATTTTGTATGAAATGGGATGCATATTTGTTCTCAAAGCATTAGTGTGAACCTGTTTTCTGACATTCATTTTCCTTATAGTTCTAAAAGAAGCTGAAATAATCATGAAAGGATATCAACTCATACAAACATGAACAAGACCTTGGTAGTCATATATATATATATACACACTTCTGGGGTACATGTGCAGAACATGCAGGTTTGTTACATAGATATACACGTGCCATGGTGGTTTGCTGCACCCATCAACCTGCCATCTTCATTAGGTATTTCTCCTAATGCTCTCCCTCCCCTAGCCCCCCACCCTCCAACAGGCCCCAATATGTGATGTTCCCCTCCCTG
The DNA here is from genome assembly GCF_000001405.40 of Homo sapiens. Lineage (NCBI taxonomy): Eukaryota > Metazoa > Chordata > Mammalia > Primates > Hominidae > Homo > Homo sapiens. Next base: position 91,259,639 of record NC_000004.12, read on the forward strand.
TGTCCATGTGTTCTCATTGTTCAACTCCCACTTATGAGTGAGAACATGCAGTGTTTGATTTTCTGTCCCTGTGTTAGTTTGCTGAGAATGAAGGCTTCCAGCTTCATCCATGTCCCTGCAGAGGACATTAACTCATCTTTTTTATGGCCGCATAGCATTCCATGGTGTATATGTGCCACATTTTCTTTATTCATCTCTCATTGATGGGCATTTGGGTTGGTTCCAAGTCTTTGCTATTGTGAATAGTGCTGCAATAAACATACATGTGCATGTAAGACCTTGGTATTCTTACAAAAGAAAGTTTGTTCAATTTGGGAAAGGAATCTGTTGCAATAAGATTAAAAACAAAGAACAATGATAGCTGAATGTTTGAGTATGTTTATACTTTCCTGTTATTATTGCCTGTTGGATTCACAGAGGGACAAAAGTCAAAATTAATTCAATTCACAGCAGTATTAACATTCGGGGTTACTGTGGATATATAGCTGGGTGCTTATAACCTTGGATTCTCTATACTATTAATTTTAATTACCTTGGTGAGCTTACACTTTCTCCTTAAAAATAATAGCACACTGATTAAGCAATAGAAAGCTGAGGAGAAAAAGAAGACAGTAATTATCCAACAGCATAACACACTGTTCTTCCCATACACCACTTCCCCAATATACACATACACACCCATGCATGGGCTTGGAGATAGGGGAAAAAGTGCTCCACAGTACTTTCTACCTCACTGGAATTAATCATACAAGTAATAACTACTGTTTCATAGATGTTGTGCCTGATCTTTTATTAATCCTCTTAACTAGCCTGTAAGGGGAGAAATGTTAGTATCCCACTGTATAGATGAAGCAACCAAACCATAGACAGATTAGCTGGCAGACACAGAATTACATTCTGTTTGATCCCAAATATGTAAACTACTGTGTGATGGAAGATGGTCTTCTGTTAAACACCAATTTCCAAAACCGCTGTTGTTCGTGGTTCTATGAAATTTGAGTCTTCTTACGGCAAAAGACTCTAAAGAGTGATATACACTTTACAGGACTTATTGTCTTGTTGTCAAATTTTGCTAAATGTTAGAACCACTTACCTAGGAAGTTTTTTATTTATTTATTTATTTATTTTTTTATTTTTTTTGAGAGGGAGTCTCACTCAGTCGCCCAGGCTAGCGTGCAATGGCGCGATCTCGGCTCACTGCAAGCTCCACCTCCCGGGTTCACGCCATTCTCCTGCCTCAGCCTCCTGAGTAGCTGGGACTACAGGCGCCCGCTACCACGCCAGGCTAATTTCTTTTTGTATTTTTAGTAGAGACAGGGTTTCATCATGTTAGCCATGATGGTCTCGATCTCCTGACCTGGTGATCCGCCCTCCTCAGCCTCCCAAAGTGCTGAGATTACAGGCGTGGGCCACCACGCCCGGCTTCCCTAGGAAGTTTTAAAATATCCTCTTGCCTTGGCTGCACCTTATACCAATTTAGTCAGAATAGATGGAAGTGGTACCAACACATGGCAATTTTTTTCTAATTTTTCAGATGATATCCAAATATAGCCATGGTTGAGAGCCAGTGTTCTAAATGCCTTGCTCCTTACCATTAGTGCTTGTATAGTCTTTCCATCATCCCCAGTGGTGACTCAGTCTCTACCCAAACACACCTAGCATTAGCTTTGACTGTCGATCAAGTTCTTAGGTCAATTCCAAATCTGTCACTTTTCTCTTCAGAATAATCTCTTTATTTCTTTTAATTGCTTCTCTTATGACATGATTTTAAATCTCCTCATTATCCCAGTAGCATTCTTCTAACTAGACTAGTTGTCAATATGGTATCTTGGAAAGAATCTGGATTTTGGAGTCATAGTACCTTTCATTTACACTTCATATCTGCTGTGTACGTAATAATCTTGTGAACTCGAGCAAACTATTCAATATTCTCAGCTTCCCTCCTTCCACAAATAATGCTACCTCTTGTAACTTTTGTGAATATTAAATGAGATATACAGAATAGGAGTAAGACTTTTAGAAGCTCTGAGCATGGAAAACTGTAGTGTCTTATCACTGCCACTTCACCCCTCCACATGTAACTCAAATGAAAACAACAACAGTGAACCAGATAAAAGGAACAAAGGAATACAATTATGTTATAGTTTTTGTCTTCACTATGTTGATTTTTAAAATTATTAAGCAGCAAATATACTATTTTTGAAGTACATATGTCCATTTTTTGTACCTTTATTTGGCTACTGTCCAAAATATATGCTTAATCTTCTCCTGAGTAATCTAGTAGTAAACAGCCTGAATATAACTGTGCATGGTAGATTTGAGAGTAAGACAGAAATGTATAACTTGAGACAAATTTTTAACCTCTTTCATAAGCTTCAATTTCCTGAATTATAAAATGAAGGTAATATTTGCCCCGGATGATTAAAGTAAAAATTGTAATAAATAATATATAAAAAGTACTTATAAGTTATAAAAAAGTAGATACAGTGTGTGGTGAAGAACAAGGGTCTGTTACCAAACTATTTGGGTTCGAATCTTAGCTTACAGGTTGTGGCTCTGAAACCTTGGGCTCTCAAACCTTGGAAGATGAGGATAAAAATAAATCTACCTCTTAAGTTTCTTGTGAGTTTACAATAATTAATGTTCTTTATACATTTAGGACAAAATAGACTCTCAATACATGTTAGTAACTATCATTATTATTGAAATAATAATTTTTATTAGACACGAAAATGTCTGGTACCTCATAGGCACTCAAGGTATGTGGTATAATTTTCTTTTCTTTTTAACTGAGTTGCCCATAGCTGAATATGTTACTGAAATATAGAATGGTGCCTGAAAATACTCATAGATACTCAATGAATATATACTAAATTAACAAATAAATGAATAAGTATGGTCTGATTACAAAGTATAGAAGGGGATTATAGCTTTATAACTTTCCTCAATATAGGTTTAGATTCATAGTAAAAACACATTTCTATTACATTCTTACCAAAGGACCTAAATTCCAATTAAATTTAGAATTTTTAAAAGATCATAAAGCTCTTTAATTATTTTTGATGAGTTTCTAGCCAGTGACATTTTTACCATACCTGAATAGGACAATACTGAAGGAGATAATTTTCAAAAATATGTATAATCTAACTCAACATTATACGAGTATAATTACATTTCGATCTCTGTGATTTAAACATGAGGCTCTTATCATATGAAAAAAAAAACAAACATATTCAGAAGCACTTAATTGCTCAGCTTAACTCAGGTTAGCGCAGCCTGACTCACTTTACCTTTAGATTCCCTTGCTCTGGTAATTAACACTTAGGTCTTCTCCAAATTATGTAACCATTCTGGGCCTTAATATCATCATCTGTAAAATAGGAGTAATATTACCTAGCCCACGGGAATTTTGTAAGAAGCAAATAAAATGGGATATGTGAAAATATACTGAAACATGCATATATATGACAACTGTTTATGTGTGTATAGTTAAATTTGCTGCTTGCTCAAGCATATCCTAGAAAAAAGCAATCAAAATAGCTATGCCTGGTGTTCAGAGATTTGCCTCAATAAACTCGACTAACCATCTAGCAGTGACTATTTTAAATGCTTATTTTGCTAGAAATGTAACAAGTATGAGAATAAAGTGCTTACGTTTTCTACTTGATATGGTTCTGAAGAGGTTAATTTTAATCACGACATTCTGCACTTAAATTTTTGTAGCCTACTGCCAAATTTTAACATTCAAGTTTATTCATTTTTCTTTATCTGTCTACAGAAAGATCTCAAATTATTGATTTTCCTAAATATATATCACTTGAAAGTTACATTACAAAATGAGCACACGGACTGCAAATTCAGAGGATGCTGAGTTCTATAAAATAACTGACCCACATTTTCCTAGCTATTACCCTAGCCTACATCTCTGACAGAGTCCTTTAGATATCTAAGGCAAAATTTGCTTCCAATTTTCTGCTTTATATGCCAAGATGATGACATTTGATATATATTGAAATTATTTTAAATATTGGGCATTAGGAGATTTCAAAGCCAGTATCCATAAAGAGAAAGTAAAAAACCTGGGATAGTGTGATCTATAGAGCAACATTTTATGGAAAAATAATAATAATTAAAATTGGAAAATCTTTTTTAAATAAATGGATGCTGGAAAAATTCTCCTACTTCAATATTAAGAGTTTCCAAAGATGTAAGCTACTTTTTTGCTTTGCCATAATATGTATAAGATATGTAACCAATATTTAAAAATCTATGTGGTTTGTCAAAATAAAAAGACAACTTGAAGTTTCTTCCAAAACTACCCATTTCACAAGAATATTGCTTATTCACAATAAGATTATATTTCTATGTTTTAAATGTTGACAAAAGAAGGAAACAGAGAAATAATTACACTACCATGTACCCGAACCATAAATATGTGTTCTGCTGACTTTTAACAAACCAGGATGAAACATTTATGATGAATGAGGAAGAGACTGTTGTAATTTTTCTAAAGCACTTTTATATTGCATGAATGACTATCTTCCTCAGGAGAGCACAAATTAATTTTTATTAACAAAGAACTGTAAAGAAGTGCTGCCATCTTTGCTTGAGTTTAAATGTTTCCCACAATTTTATCATTTTAATGGATAATGGGAAAATAAATAGTTGCTTGCACAATAAAAAAATCATGGTTGTAGTTAGTATTAGGTAGGTACTTCATAATCTTTCTCATTTCTAATATTTTAGATATAGGGCATTTTCTCCATAAGTGGCTTTGTATTGTTGTTTCCCTAAAGTCATTCCAAATTAGCTTGTTCTTTAATAAAACAGAGAATTTTTGGAAAAGAATTATCCAACTCTTCTCTGATGCTTAAAGCTTCCTTTATGTTTTCTTTTTAAGAGCACAATCCTGGATATTTTTCCCATGAAACACTCTCGCACTACAATTGTGAGACCTATATTTTATAAAGCATAATGAATTTTTAAAATTTTACATTACCACTGTTATGTGTGGAGAACACTAAAAACAGTTTTTAAGTTTAAGGCATTCCATCCAAGTACTAACCAAGTCTGACCCTGCTTAGCTTCTGAGATAGAGATCAGGTGCATTCAGGGTAGTATGGCTATAGACTAAAAAGATTTCTTAACTAGTTTTATCTCTGTCCTCATGATTGTGGTTTGTGAAAGAAAAATCTGATTATAAGTAGGAGGGTAAATCCCTGATTAAGAAATAATTTTATTAAAATATTATGAAGATATTAAAATATTTATCTGATTATATATGACTAATGAATAGATTTCAAATATTATTTGTCTACATTTGTTTTTCTTTCTGTTGTTTGGCTAAAATGACTTAAGGCACAATTAGCATTCATTGTGTATAAAGAATTTTTTATATTGATTTTATAAACCATAAGAAAGAAATATCTGAAGTAACTCAATTACATTTCCTTAGATATCTCACTAGAATTTTCAATAGCCAATGACTTCAACTTTTAGCCTATGAGAGAAATTATAGACTAATGTCCCTTACCAAATACTAAAATTTGATATCAGTATTTGAAATCATTCTTTGGAACTTTGATTAATTTAGAACTGTTTCAGTAAACAATTTAATTAAAAATTAAGCTCCTGAATAAAGTATGATTTATACAATCATAAACTATTATATATTAATACAAAACCCCATTAAGTTAACAACATAAGGGTGTGAGCTATAGTGAATTAGGTTAATTTTCTGGATAACTGAAGATTATCATATAAATATAAGAAAATAATTTTTGATAACATATGTTCCTGTCAAACTTTAGGCCTATATTAAAAAAATAAGCTCTGAACAAAGTGTAACATTCATTTGATTATTACAGATTATAGGAAAACTCTAGTTAACCTTCTCACTGGATTAATTCAAATGCCAGTTGTATTCTGTAGAGCCATGATGCTGAAGGTGATAGGTACCACTTCCATTGGTCTGTTCACTTCTGTTCCATTAATTGTTTCCTTCATACTTTTTTTATTGTAGTTGTAATGGTTATTTTAAATTGTATTGTTATTAAGTGAACTAGTTCAATATTAGGTAAAGAGATAAAATAAGCAAGTGGAAAGAATGAGCAAAACTATGTTGAATACTTTAGGAAGTATTTTGAACACTGAAAAATTTTGGGAAAACGAGTAAATACAAAGAAAGTGTTTTAGTGCATTTTCACACTACTGATAAAGACATACCCAAGACTGGGAAGAAAAGTAGGTTTAATGGTCTCACAGTTTCACGTGGCTGGGGAGGCCTTACAATCATGAGGGAAGGCAAAAGGCACTTCTTACATGGCAGCAGCAAGAGGGAAAGAGAAAGAAGAGAAAGTAGAAGCCCCTTGTAAAACCATGAGATCTTATGAGATTTATTCACTACCATGAGAACAGTATGGGGGAAACTGCCCTCATGATGCAATTATCTCCCACTGGGTCCCTGCTACAACACGTGGAAATTATGGAAACTACAATGCAAGATGAGATTTGGGTGGGGACACAGAGCAAAACCATGTAAGATTGTTTTGCAAGGAATTTTAAGCCCTAAGACCACTTTAACTTAAGCTGGTTGTTTTTTTTGTTTGTTGGTTTGTTTTGTTTTTTTTTTGAGACAGAGTCTCACTCTGTTGGCCCAGGCTGGTGTGCAGTGGCATGATCTCGGCTCACTGCAAGCTCCGCCTCCTGGGTTCACGCCATTCTCCTGCCTCAGCCTCCGAGTAGCTGGGACTACAGGTGCCCGCCACCATGCCCTGCTAATTTTTTGTATTTTTAGTAGAGACGGGGTTTCACCATGTTAGCCAGGATGGTCTCGATCTCCTGATGTCGTGATCTGCCCACCTCGGCCTCCCAAAGTGCTGGGATTACAGACGTGAGCCACAGCGCCCGGCCTTAAGCTGGAATTTGAGGAAGACGCTTTCCTGTGTGACTATGCAAGAAAGAGGAAGAGAGGCAGAAGACACTAACTCAAAGAAAAGGGCTTGGTCTCATGTTAAAATACGCATGACTGAATGGATTTCCACTTATTTTAAGTTAAAATGAAATGCTTAACATATGGAAATATATTATTAAAAATTATTTCTGGTTTTGCATACTTTAGTAGCTGGCTGATCCTTATCTTACCGGATAAGTGGACACTGATTGAATATATTTTATTATATATCTGGCCTAAGGAAGGCTATATTCTATGACTATGGAATATTTGGTATTATCATTCTTACTACTTTTGAACCATTTCACTTTCAGTTTCACGTTTTTTTCCTGCTCCTGAATATTTTGCATGCCTGATTCCAGATAATTGGAAAATTGCTGCACCTTCAATATAAAACTTACTCAAATATAGTTGAGATTTAACCGGTCAAGACAAACTTTGCAGATTTATCTCCTTCCTTCCCACATCCCACATTCTACCTATTTTTCCATTTTCTATTTAACAACCAGTCTGAATGTTAATTGGAGAAGTGGTAGGTAAAGTTAAAAAGTAGGTAAAGGCAGGCTTGTAGCACACCTGTGGATCCAGCAAATCTTGAATTCTGCCATTTTTGGGGAATTATTGATGGATATTTCTATATGTCAGGTGTGTGTTTTAGAATGATTCAATTCATCTCTTAGTTCTTTGTTTTTTATTAGTTTTTTGGGGGGGTTCTTTTCTCTGTCCTTTTTCTCTGAAAAGTATATCATAATCATAATTTATCATAATTGGCATATCTATATCAAATAGGAAAAAAATAACTTTAAGAAAAATGTTTCTCTCTGCTTTTACAGAAAAAAGAGTCCTCAATAGACATTGCTTAGTATTAACTTATTTTCCCTGCTTCTGTAGTGTGGAGTACTGACATTTAAAAGACTTTAATTTCTATTGATAATAAATGAATGCACAGCCAGAGAAGAGAACTCTAAAATAATTAGAGGGATGCATGTCAAGTCTTTCAGGCCCTCATATTAATACACAGTGCATGCTGCTTCTTATTGTTGCAAATGTCAACCTTCTTTTAGATAAGTGTCTTTTGGGAAATGGTTTACTACACTTCAAAGGGATATAATAAAAGAAAAGGGCTTGGGGCAATATTTAAGCAATGAAAGAAACACAGGACATTTATGACTAGCTGAGAGGAACTGATTGCCTTTGGCTGTGCCTTGGGAAATCCCCAGGAAACACAGTAAGTTGTGATTACTATTGTAAGTTAAAATGATATAAAGCATGCAGAGGAATTTGTGTTTTTCTTATGGGTGATACTGCATTTCATATTCTCAGCATACCATCAGAGTTCATATCTACCTCTGTGTTTCTTACTGAAGTACTAGCAGGAGATGTATTATTGAAAATTGCCAAAGAATAATTTTCAAGAGGATCAATTTAAGAAAATGAAAAGAATGTAAAGCTAAGTCTATCTCAGAAAACATATGTGTTTTCGCATACCTCAATTAAATGTTTCTCATTAAACTAGACATTTTGAAATTAATCATACCAAAATTTGTACTGAGAATGTTTGTTAAAATTTGCATGGTAAATTTCTACTATGTGTATAACTATGGCAAATAACATTAGAGGTAAATAAAAAAGAAGGGCATACATTTAATTTTATCAGTGCATGTTCACAGTGGTTATTTCCTTAATAGACATAGAAATGTTTAGATCTGGCAGCATTATTGGGGGGATGTGAGGATGTGATTTATTATTACCCTTATAGGTTTTCACTTCTGAGTTTCTACCAGGCTGTTGAGAATATAAAGGAAATTATCTCACAAATCTGTTATTTTTTTCTTTATTCATTTCATGTAGTTTCCCTTTTCTGGTAGTTAAGAGATCTAACACCAAATTTTAATCACTTTATGGTCTCAGTTTTCACTGCACTACCTTCAAATTCAAAACATGGCTGAAGAATTATGTCACGCGCTTCCCAGTGAAGACACCACCAAACAGGCTTTGTGTGAGCAACAAGGCTGTTTATTTCACCTGGGTGCAGGCTGGCTGAGTCCGTAAAGACAGTCAGCAAAGGGAGATAGGGGTGGGGCTGTTTTATAGGATTTGGGTGGGTAGTGGAAAATTACAGTCAAAGGGGGTTTTTCTCTTACAGGCAGGGGCGGGGTCACAAGGTGCTCAGCAGGGGAGGTTCTGAGCCAGGAGAAGGAATTTCACAAGGTTAATCAATCAGTTAAGGTGGGGCAGGAACAAATCACAATGGTGGAATGTCATCAGTTAAGGCAGGAACCAGCCATTTTCACTTCTTTTGTGATTCTTCACTTGCTTCAGGCCATCTGGACGTATACGTGCAGGCTTGGGCTCAGAGGCCTGACAAATTATTCTTGAAATGAGGTCTGAAATGCTAACAATAAAATTCAGCCTGATTATCACTATTTTTGGTCATGCAAAGATAACAAACTGGGTAAAAAATTGTAGTCTATTTAAAGGCACTTTGGCCTTGCAAATTCTGTACACTGTCTGGTTTGATTAATGAGCAAGTGACTTTATCACTGTATGTCAACCAAAGCAACAGATTGAAGGCATGCCTTGGGCAGGTCTATGCTCCAAAAGGGATTTTAAGAGAGCTAATACTTTAATGTGTTTAATTTGGATGTTTTAATTAAGGGTTAATATAAATATCAAAGCAAAAATCTAAATAAGCACAAAACTAGTAGCCATTTCTTGTATAAGTACCTAAAATGCACACATCTGAATACTTTCAAATTTCGGGGAATCGCCAAGCATTTTACAGACTACGTGTTTCCTGAACTGTTAACCCAGGTCTTCTAATTAACCCTTGAAGATAGTTCTGGGTGCTACATAAAAGCTTGAAGGATTACTCATATAAGCTTAAATAGAAATTCCACCAAAATGCATTAAAGAATATGAGAATACTTATATGTTTATCAGAAATATCTTGTTATTATTTAAAATTTTATCATTCTACAACATTTACAATGATTATATTAACTAAATCCTACATTTCCACATGTATATACCATGATGGGACCAAGGTCAAATTTTTATTTTACTTGTGAATGATAATTTCAGAAGTTGAGCATTCTTCTGTAAATGCTGCTCTTATATAACTCAGATATTTTCTTGAACGACTGCTTCTTAAACTATTTAAATATCAAGAGAACTTTAACTTCCAGAGGGTGTAAGATAATACAATTAAAACTCTACTTAAAAAAAATTCATACCCCTTTAGATTCCAATTGTGTACTTTTAAAATAATATTACAGCTCTTTAGTCACACACTTATCTGCAATTCTGAGATCCAAAACACAAATAAGCAAACCAAATCCCCTGATAAGTGAAAGTTCTTTTATGAATTATATGGTAACAAAATCTTACCTGAATTGAAAAGAAGCTATTTACAGTTTTTAAAAATCAAAGTGTGATTATACTTTTGCCGCAGAGATATTAATGTCTTTGATTACACCAGCTCCAGATGTAGCTAAGGGTGCTTTTTGTAAATTCTGAATAATTCTGAATTCTGAAAAATCACTTGGCCTCAAGCTTTTGGATAAAGAGTTACTTAAGAATTTTCTTATGTTTATATTTCCATTCCATGTCTAACACTGTTTTGCTTTTTGATGTGTGTGCCTGAGGCCAGGGAATAAGTGCTGAATTCTTATTCAATTATAGTTCAGGTATTATTTTAACATTTTTCCTAGGTAAAAATGGTGTTGACTCTTACTCTAACAAGATGGTATGTTACTCTTTTCTATACCTATGTTCTGAGCTACACCAAGAATCTCTCTTTAGTAACCACTTCCAGAGGAGTAGGAAGGTATTAACAACGTTCATCACATTTTTTTTTGTTCTTTTTAAGGCATTTCTTTTTCCTTTCTTTCATGGATTTCTGTTCTTTACATTCATTCTCTGTGACAGACTCATGTGCTTATTACAGGTCTAATTTACAGTGAAGACAGTTTATAACAGAAATCACAATACTCATAATTCACAAAGCAGTCTCTAATTGGCTCAGTCCTCATACTCATCCTGATTATACAGACTCAGAATCTGGTGGAGAAGCTCCTGGGATGCAGAGGCCAAAAGAATTCAGTTCAAGGCTGTCAGTGCCACTTTCCAGCTTTGTAGCCATGGAAATTTACTTTGCTACTTCTCCCTCTTTCCTATTTGTGGTAATGGAAGGCTATTATATAGTATGGAGATAATATATGCTTCAGATAATTTTGTCATTGCTAATATAATAAAGCATTTTAAATAAGTACATGGTGTGCTATGAAACACTGAAAAAAATAGTTAAATAAATGTAATGATATTCATGAACTACAGGTTGTGTGTGGGGAAAAAAGCCCAGAAGTGCAGGAGTTCTCTACTGGATTTATTAAGCTCCTATGGTTAAGCTGAACACTAACTTATTCTTAAATATGTCTTGCATGAATAAGTTCTATATCTGGATTTAGATATATTAATATATTAAATATTGTTGTTTTAATTCATTGTCTTAAGTAATAGATAGATTTTTTAAAATCAATATTTTAGAAAGAAAACAGTAGAAGGAAAATTATGTGGGTAAATTGAATAATCTAGGCTTTGTCATCATATCTCCTTAAATGTTTTCTTTTAACTGGTCATAAGTTACTTATGCTAAGCAGTTTTCTGTAGCATAGTACTTTTTTTTTCCCCATAGGTTATTGGGGAACAGGTGGTGTTTGGTTACAATAATAAGTTCTTTAGTGGTGATTTGTGAGATTTTGGTGCATTCATCACCCAAGCAGTTTACACTGCACCCAGTTTGTAGTCTTTCATCTCTCACCCCCTTCCCACCCTTTCCTCCTGAGTCCCTGAGGTCCATTGTGTCATTCTTATGCCTTTGCATCCTCATAGCTTAGCTCCCACTTATGAGTGAGAACATATGAACATACAATGTTTGGTTTTCCATTCCTGAGTTACTTCACTTAGAATAGCAGTCTCCAATCTCATCCAGGTCGCTGCAAATGCCATTTACTAATTCCCTTTTATGGCTGAGTAGTATTCCATCATATATATGATATACATATATACACACATATATATATGATATATATACACACACATATATATGATATACATATATACATACACATATACATATGATACACATATATATATCACAGTTTCCTTTTGTTTGTTTTTGAGACGGAGTTTCGCTCTTGTTGCCCAGGCTTGAGTGCAATGGCACCATCTCAGCTAACTGCAACCTCTGCCTCCTGGGTTCAAGTGATTCTCCTGCCTCATCCTCCCGAGTAGCCAGGATTACAGGCACATGCCACCACTCCTGGCTAATTTTGTATTTTTAGTAAAGACAGGGTTTCACCATGTTGGCCAAGCTGGTCTCAAACTCCTGATACCACAGTTTCTTTATCTACACATTGATTGACTGGCAGTTGGGTTGGTTCCACATTTTTGCAATTGCAAATTGTGCTGCTATAAACGTGTGTACAAGTATCTTTTTCATATAATGACTTATTTTTCTCTGGGTAGATAGCCAATACTGGGATCAAATGATAGTTCTACTTTTAGTTCTTTAAGGATTCTCCACACTGTTTTCCATAGTGGTTGTACTAGTTTACATTCCCACCAGCAGTGTAAAAATGTTTCCTGTTCACTGCATTCACACCAATATCTATTATGTTTTGATTTTTTGATTATGGCCATTCTTGCAGGATAAGGTGGTGTCCCATTGTGATTCTGATGTTCATTTCCCTGGTCATTAGTGATGAGCATTTTTTCATATATTTATTAGCCATTTGTATATCTTCTTTTGAGAATTGTCTATTCATGTCCTTAGCCCACTTTTTGATGGAATTGGTTTTTTTTCTTGCTAATAAGTTTGAGTTTGTTGTAGATTCTGGGTATTTGTCCTTTGTCAGATATATAGATTGTGAAGATTTTCTCCCACTCTGTGGGTTGTCTGTTTACTCTGCTGGCAGTTCCTTTTGCTGTGCAAAACCTCTTTAGTTTAATTAAGTCCCGGCTATTTATCTTTGTTTTTATTGCATTTGGTTTTGTGTCTTGGTCATGAACTCTTTGCCTAAGCCATGCCCGAAGGGTTTTTCCAATGTTATCTTCTAGAATTTTTATAGTTTCAGGTCTTAGATTTAAGTCCTTGATTCATCTTGAGTTTATTTTTGAATAAGGTGAAAGATGAGGATCCAGTTTCATTCTCCTACATGTGGCTTGCCAATTATCCCAACACCATTTTTTGAATAGTGTGTGCTTTGCCCACTTTATATTCTTGTTTGCTTTGTCAAGGATTGGTTGGCTGTAAGTATTTGGTTTTATTTCTGGGTTCTCTATTCTGTTCCTTCCATCTGTGTGCCTATTTTTATATCAGTATCATGCTGTTTTGGTGACTATGGCCTTATAGTATAGTTTGAAATCGGGTAATGTGATGCCTCCAGATATGTTCTTTTTGCTTAGTCTTGCTTTGGCTATGCTGGCTCTTTTTTTGGTTCTATATGAATTTTAGGATTTTTTTTTTCTAATTCTGTGAAGACTGATTGTGGTATTTTTATGGGAATTGTGCTGAATTTGTAGATTGCTTTTGACAGTATAGTCATTTTCACAATATTGATTCTACCCATCCGTGAGCATAGGATGGGTTTCCATTTGTTTGGGTCATCTGTGATTTCTTTCAGCAGTGTTTTGTAGTTTTCCTTGTAGAGGTCTTTTAACTCCTTGGTTAGGTGTAATCCTAAGTGTTTGTTTGTTTTTTTGTTTTTTCAGCTATTGTAAAAGGGGTTGAGTTCTTGATTTGATTCTCTGCTTGGTTGCTGTTTGTGTATAGAAGATCTACTGATTTGTGTGCATTAATTTTGTATCCGGAAACTTTGCTGAATTCTTTTATCAGTTCTAGGAGTTTTCTGGAGGAGTCTTTAGGGTTTTCTAGGAAAACAATCATATCATCAGCAGACAGTGACAGTTTGACTTCCTCTTTACCGATTTGAATGCCCTTTATTTCATTTTCTTGTCTGATTGCTCTGGCTAGGACTTCCAGTACTGTATTGAAGAGGAGTGGTGAGAGTGGGCATCCTTGTCTTGCCAGCTCTCAGATGGAGTGCTTTAAACTTTTCTCTATTCAGTATTATGTTGGCTGTGGGTTTGTCATAGATGGCTTTTATTACACTGAGGTATGTCCCTATATGCCAATTTTGCTGAGAGTTTTAATCATAAAAGGATGCTAGATTTTGTTGAATGCCTTGTCTTCATCTATTGAGATGATCATGTGATTTTTGTTTTTGATTCTGTTTCTGTGGTGTATCACCAAAGCACAGTACTTTTAAAAGCAATAATTAGGCTTCTTATGGTAATATCTGATTATTTGTCACTCCAACACAAGTATCACTTGGAAAAAAATAGTTAGGTTAACTCTCCTTTATTTTTAACTAATATACATATTATACCAATAAGAAAGTCTAAAATAAAGTTTATAAAGTCTGGGTTCAGTAAATGAGCACTTTGGTAATACACTATCTTAGATTTGGCATCTTATTAAAAAATAAATTTGGCTATTTTGTCTTTATGCTGATGTGATGACTTTTTAATTTTTTTTATTTTTATTGATACATACTATTTTTACATATGTATGGGGTACATGTGATATTTTATTACATGCATAGAATGTGTAATGATCAAGCCAGAGTGTTTAAGATATCCTTGCCTTAAGTATTTATCCTTTCCTTGTGTCAGAACATTTCCAGTCCTTTCTTTCAGCTATTTTAAAATATACGAAACACTGTTGTTTACTATAGTCACCCTACTCTGCTATTGAACATTAGGGCTTATTTCTTCTTTCTAACTGTATGTTTATACCCATTAACCACCCTCTGTTCATCACACCACCCACCCACCCATTTTTCCCAGGCCCTAGTATTTATCATTCTACTCTCTACCTCCATGAGATTAATGTTTTTAGCTCCCACATGAGTGAGAACATGCACTATTTGTTTTTCTGTGCCTGGCTTATTTCACCTGAAATAATGACCTCTAGTTCATCCATCTTGCTGCAAATGACATGAGTTATTCTTTTTTATGGCCAAATAGTATTCTCTTGTGTATGTATACCACTTTTCTTTATTCGTTTGACCATTAATGGACACTGAGGTCCATTCCATATTTTTGCTATTGTGAATAATGCTGCAATAAACATATGGGTGCAAGTATCTTTTTGAAATACTAATTTATTGGCCTGGCGCAGTGGCTCATGCCTGTAATCCCAGCACTTTGGGAGGCTGAGGCGGGCGGATCACGAGGTCAGGAGATCGAGACCATCCTGGCTAACACAGTGAAACCCCGTCCCTACTAAAAATACAAAAAAAATAGCTGGGAGTGGTGGCAGGCGCTTGTAGTCCCAGCTACTTGGGAGGCTGAGGCAGGAGAATGGTGTGAGCCCGGGAGGCAGAGCTTGCAGTGAGCCGAGATCGCGCCACTGCACTCCAGCCTGGGTGACAGAGCGAGACTCCGTCTAAAAAAAAAAAAGAAACACTAATTTATTTTCCTCTGCCTAAGTGCCCAGTAGGGGATTGCTGCATCATGTGGTAGTTCTATTTATCGTTTTTCAAGAAATATTCATACTGTTTTCCATAGTGCATGTATTAATTTACATTTCCACCCACAATGTATAAGAGTTCCCTTTTCTTTGCATCCTTGCCAGCATCTGTTTTTTTTTGTTTGTTTTTGTTTTTTGTTTTTGTTTTTGTTTTTGTCTTTTTAATAATAGCTACTCTAACTGGGTTAAAATGATATTTCAATTTGTTTTTGATTTGCACCTCCCTGATGATTCGTGATGTTGAGCATTTTTTCAACTACCTGTTGGCCATTTTTATGTCTTCTTCTGACAAATGTATATTAAGATAATTTGTCCAACTTTTAGTGGGTTTATTTAGCTTTTCTTTTCCGTTAAATTGTTTAGGTTCTTTGTATATTCTGCATATTAGTTTCTTGTTTGATGAATAGTTTGCAAATATTTTCTCTCATTCTATAGGTTGTCTCTTCAGTCTGTTGACTGTTTCTTTTGCTGTGCAGAAGCTTTTTAGTGTAATAGAATCTCATTTGCCTACTTGTGTTTTTGAGGTCTTAGCCATAAAACCTTTGCCCAGAGCAATGTCCTGAATTGTTTCTTCTATGTTTTCTTTTAGCAGTTTTATAGTTTCAGCTTTTAGATTTAAGTCTTTAAACCGTCTTGAGTTGATTTTTGTAGATGGTGAGAGATACGGTTTCAGTTTCATTCTGTTGCATATAGATGTCCAATTTACCCAGCACCATTTATTGAAGGGACTCCTTTACTCCAATTTATTTTTTTGGTGTTTTTGTCAAAATTAGTTAACTATAAAAACATGGATTTATCTGGGGTTCTCTATTCTATTCCATCAGTCTATGTGTCTTGTTTTTGTACCAATACCATTCTATTGTTATTACTCTAGGCTTGTAATAAATTTTGAAATCAGTTAGTATGTTGCCTCTGGTTTCATTCTTTTGGTTCAGAATTGCCTTGTCTATTCCAGCTCTTTTTTGGTTCCATACACATTTTAGGATTTTTTTTTCTATTTCTGTGAAAAATGACATTGGTATTTTATTAAGGATTGCACTGAATTTGTAGATTTCTTTGGGTAGTATAGTTACATTAATGATGTTAATTCTGCTGGGATGTCTTTCCTTTTTTTTTTTTTTTTTTGTCCTCAACTTCTTTCATCAGAATTTTGTAGTTTTCCTTGAGTAGGTCTTTCATCTCCTTGAATACATTTATTTCTAGGTAATTTTTGTAGCTATTGAAAAATGAGATTACCTTCTTCATTTCTTTTTCAACCAGTTTATGATTAGTATATAACACTACTGATTTTTGTATGTTGGTTTTTGTATCCTTCAACTTTACTGAATTTATTTATCAAATCTAAGAGTTTTTGGTGGAGTCTTTAGCTCTTTCTGTAATAGAAATAAGATCATGTCATCTCCAAACAGGGATAATTTTACTTCCATTTTTTCAATTTGGAATGCCTTTTCTTTCTTTCTCTTACCTGATTGTTCTGGCTATGTCTGCCAGTACTGTGTTGAGTAGGAGAGATAAAAGTGGATATCCTTGTTTTGTTCCAGTTCTTAGAGAAAAGATTTTCCAGTTTTTCCCATTGTGTCCAAGGTTAGCTGTAGGTTTATCATATATGGCATTTGTTATCTTAAGGTATGTTCCTTTTATGCCTATAAGGCAGTTTTTTTGAGTTTTTATCATAAAGGAATGTTGAATTTTTCCAAATGCTTTTTTACAACTATTGAGATGATCATATGGTTTCTATTCTTCATACTGTTGAGGTGATACATGACATTTATTGATTTGCATAGGTTGAACTAGTCTTGCACTGCTGGGATAAATGTCACTTGATCATGGTGTATTATATTTTTGATATACTCTTAGATTTGATTTGCTGGTATTTTGTTGAGGATTTTTGCATCTATGTTTATCAGGGATATTGGACTGTAGTTTTCTTGTTGCACTTTTTTCTGCCTTTGGTATCAGGGTAATACTGCCCTCATAGAATGAGTTAGCAAGAATTCCCTTCTTGTAAATATTTTTGAATAGTTTCAGAAGAATTGGTATAAGTTCTTAGAAAGTTTCGTACATTTCACCAGTGAAGCTATTGGATCCTGACTTCATGAGACTGATGTATTCAATTCTGGACTTCTTTTGGCGGGGCTTGGCGGAGACTTTTTATTACTGCTTCAATCTTATTATGTGTTACTGATCTGTTCAGATTTTCTATTTCTTCCTGTTTCAGTCTTGTTAGGTTGTATGTGTCCTGGTATTTATCCATTTTGTTTAAGTTTTCCAGTTTGTTAGTATATATTTGTCCATAATAGTCTCTGATTATTTTTTGTTATTGTGGTATCCATTTTGTCCTTTTTTTTTTTTTTTTGGCTTCTGATTTTATTTGTTTTTTTTCCTCTTTTTCTTGGTTAGTCTAGCTAGTGGTTTATCTATTTACTTATCTTTTTTAAAAAACAACTTTTTGTTTCATTGATCCTTTATATATATTTTTTGAGTCTCAATTTTGTTTAGTTCTGCTATGACTTTTATTATTTCATTTTTCTCTACTAATTTTGGGTTTGGTTTGTTCTTGCTTTTCTAATTTCTTGAGGTGCATCATTGCATGCTTAGAAATCTTTCTATTTTTTTGATCTAGGGTTTTGTTGTTACAAACTTGCATTTTAACATTGCTTTTGCTGTATTCCATAGGTTTTGATATGTTGTGTCTCAATTTTCATCTTTTCAATAAATTATTTTATTTCTTTCTTAATTGCTTCCTTGACCCAATGGTTATTCAGGAGCATGTTGTTTAATTTCCATTTATTTGTACAGCTTCTAAAGTTCCTATAGTTATTGATTTCTAGTTTTATTCTATGGTGGCCTGAGAGGATACTTGATATATTTCAATTTTTAAAAATTTGTTGGGGCTTGTTTTGTGTCCTAACATATGGCCTGGAGAATGTTCCATATGCTAAGGAGAAGAACGTTTATTCTGCTGTTCTCAGATGAAATAATCCGTAAATGTCTGCTAGGTCCATTTGGTCTAAAATGCAGTTTAAATCCAATGTTTCTTTGTTGATTTTCTGTGTAGATGATTGGTCTAATGCTGACAGTAGGGCGTTGAAGTCCCTAACTATTACTATTATTGTATTGGAATCTGTTCTTCCCTTTACATCTGGTAATGTTTGCTTTATGTATCTGGTGCTCCTCTATCAGGTGCATATATGTTTAGAAATGTAATACCCTCTCACTGAATTGATCCTTTAATCATTATATAATGAGCCTTTTTGTCTTGACTGAAAAGTCTGTTTTACCTGAAGTAAGTATAGCTACTCCTGATCATTTTGGTTTCTGTTTGCATGGAGTATCTTTTTCCGTCTCTTTATTTTCTGTCTGTATGTGTCTTTGTAGATGCAGTGAGTTTCTTACAGGCATTGTATAGTTGGGTCCTGTTTGTGTTTTGTTTTGTTTTGTTTTTGCCTTTAGCCAGTCTATATCTTTTAAGTGGAAAGTTTAATCCATTTACCTTCAAGGTTAATGTTGATATGTGAGGTTTTTTTCTTGTCATTTTATTAATTAGTTTCTCATTTCTCTATCCTTATTTATTTCTCCTTCTTATTGTTTATCATTCATGTTGGGTGGTTTTCTGTGGTGGTAATATTTGAGTCCTTTGTTTTTCTCATTTGTGTGTGTACTGTACCACTGAGTTTCATATTTTTGTGTGTTTGCCTGATGGTAGATATTATATTTTCATTCCCACGTGTAGAACTCCCTTAAGCATTTCCTGTATGACCAGTCTAGTGGTTATGAATTCCCTCAGCTTTTGCTGACCTGGGAAAGACTATCTCTTCTTCGTTTATGAAGGATAAATTTGCTGTATAGCATGTCCTTGGCCGCCAGGTTTATTTTTTTTTTTTTCTTTCAGCACTGAATATATCACTCCATTCTCTCCTGGCCTGTGAGGTTTCTGTTAAGAAATCTGCTGTTAGTCTGATGGAATTGCCTTAGAAGTGAGTCGATGCTTTTCTGTTGCTGTTTTTAAAAATCCCTTTGTCTTTGACTTTTGACAATTTGACTATAATGTCTTGGGAAGGCCTTTTTGAGCTTCCTGTATCTGAATGTCTCAATCTCTTGCTAGAGTTGGAAAGTTTTCAGTTATTATTTCAATAAGTGTGTTTTGTATTCCTTTTATTTTCCCTCCACCTTTGAGAGACCCCCAAAATTAGAATATTTGGTGGACTTATGGTATCCTATATGTCTCATAGATTTTGTTCATTTATTTTTATTTTTTTTCCTTTATCTTTGTCTGACTGAGTTATTTCAAAAGAACTGTCTTCAAGTTCTGAAACTTTTTCTTCTGCTTGATCTAGTCCTTTGTCAAAGCTTTGAGCATTTTGTATTTCATTCAAGGAATTCATCAGTTTAACAGTTTCTATTTGGTTCTTTTTTGTGATATCTATCTCTTTGGTAAATTGCTCATTCATATCCTGAATTGCTTTTCTGATTTCTTTGTATTGATTTTCTGAATTATCTTGTTTCTAAGTGAGCTTCTTAAATAACACTACTTTGAATTATTTTTCTGGAATTTCACAAATTTCTTCATTGGAATTGTTGCTTGAGAATGATTGTGTTTTTTGGGAGGTGTCTTCTTTCCTTGCTTTTTCATGTCTCTTGTGCCCTTATATTGATATTTGCACACCTGGTGTACTAGTCACTTCTTTCTATTTTTTGAATATTTTTTAATAAGAAAGGACTTTTTTCCTGAAGATGTATCTGTGGTGTTCGTTGGATAAGGTGCTTTGGCTTTAATTCTGGTCATGTGCCGTAGTATAGTCTCTATATGATTTATTGGCTGTAAACAGTGTCAGTAGTGTCTATGATTTCCACACTGGCTGAGAGTGTGTTTGTTTGTGCAGACTGTGGTAAAGTTTTACTGGAGATGAAGACATTAAACAGGCCAGTCATTTGGCCACAGTACAGGAGTGGCAGGACAAGCATGCCTGTCCTTGAGCCCCAAAGCAGTAATGCTGGCACCAGTGTTAGTGGGTTTAGGCAGAGTGATTCTTGGGCCTCCAGTCAGCTTGCTTGAGTGCTGGTAGTGACAACAATGGGTCAGGTAGGTGGGAAGTTTCTTGGGCCTCTGGAGACCACCCAAGTTGGTATTGCATGGGTGATAGCAGTAGCAGTGGTGAGACAATCATCTGGCCCCCAAGAAGTCCACTCCACTGTTAGTGGTGATTGCAGTGGACTGGATGGATTAGTTCCAATGCTCTCAAGTGGCACATACAGGTGGGTGCCAGCTGTGATGGTAGTTATCAGGTTGTGTTTGCCCATCCTCAGGCCTCTGGAATAAGTACACAGGTGCTGAGAGAGGTGGATAGGACAGGGCGATCCCCAGAACCCTGGTGAAATGCTTGGGTGGGGGCAGCAGTGATTACACTGTGGCTCTGCTGCTGTAGAGAGTGGCGTTGTTTTCCTTTGCAGCAGACATAAACAAGTGGTTTAGGAGTGAGAGCATCGGCCACAGGTGGTGTCTATAAGTGGGGTATAATATTTCCTCAGGGCATTTTTAAATGAACAGAGACCCTGCTACTGAAGGAGACTGGGTTGCTGCCAATGGCTCACACTTGGGCTCTGACAGCAGCCAGCAGCAGTACCTGGCTGTGGGAAGGGAATGTCAGTGGTGCTCCAGAGATGTGGAGATGCAGGGACTGTTGCTTCCCAGGGAAGGATGCAGTTGGTGGGTCGTTAGGCTCTCAAAATGGTGTGGTGCTATATTTGCTTAGGACTCAGGGCAAGTGTGGCCCCAGTGTGAGCTCCCTCTATGAAGCAATGTCATTGGGTGGTCTCTGAAAATCTCTGTATGTTAGTCTTAGGGCTTGTGTGAGTTGAGGGGCTCTTCTGTGGCTAGAATTGCAGAAATCCACCATGGAAATGTAGACCACTGGTAGTCAGTAACTTACCCTTCCCTTGTTTTGGGGAATCTCTCCAGGCTCCCAGCTGTTCCCAGTTGAGCTGGCTGCCTCACATTCCTTTCCTTCCATGTCTTAGGCATTTCTTGTCATTTTTCATTGCATTTCAGCATTTTCTTTCTTATGGGATCTATTCAAAATGTGATTATCTATTCACTCTTTTGGTTCTTATCTGTGGAGGGATCAAGTATCACATGCCTCTAGTCAGCTATCTTGAAGCCCCTCCCTGATGGAATTTCTCATTGTAAAAGATTTCATTGAGCATAAACATATAACTAAATTAAATGACTCTGACAGTGTAATGAAAAAACACAAATACAAGGCAGCCACATGTACAAAGTGCAATCAAAAAGAAACTTAATTGATACAGAAGTAGGTAACTGTAGGGGAGAACTGTGATCTGGGGAGACAACTCAGGATGTCGACCATATGACATCAGATTTTTCATTAGAATGAAAGAAGTATCATGTAGTAAATGCCTCGGAACCAGTTAGATAAAAATGTAAAGCCAAGGTCTTCTTCAGCAGAATTTTGTTTAGCTATTCTGGACTTACTTAATTGTGACTTTCCTGTGATTTATCTCAACAACTTGAAGTTTTTGATATTAGGAGACTAGCTTCTCCAGTCAGTGTATTATAAATATATTACTTTCTCATAGTTTACATTTTTCTTTGTAAGTAAGTTTGTTCCTTGTTTGTTATAGGAATGCATTGTAGTATTCCTCTTTCCCTAGTTAAATCTCTAATGAAGATCAGTCCTAACATATTACAGGCCTCAGAAATATTTTTCAAATAAATAGAAAACATGTGTTTTTAGTTTGTATTTTGATATTTAATAATAGAGCTTTTAAAAAATATTGGTTTTTGTTATTTTTAGCTTTTAATTACTTAGACTTGATGTAACTTACAAAGTTAAAAAAAACTTGAATGTTTTTGTCGCAAATATTGGTGAGTCTTTGCCTTAAATAATGATAACTTTTTAAAAAAATCAGCCTTGTATAGTGAATATTGTGCTGTAGATTCAAATAAACCTATGTGTGCATATCCCAGTTTAGAATCTTCCAGATTTAGGCAGATCTCCTTTCTGATCTAGATCTTTCTTGACTTCTAAATCATGAATTATACAGGTGTGACTTTATTCCATCTCAAATGCAATGCTGAAACAGTGCTTAGATAACCTGCCATGATTTCTGCCCTTAGACTCAAAGTAGTAAACATTAGTCTATTCAAGATTCTGTCTTATGTCATTCAATGCTTGTTCGGGGCGAATGACTGATGGGGTTGGTGCTAACAACCTACACTTGGGTCTGTACAGCAATTTTATAGATTATTATGCTTTCTTCTATGTGGAGGTTGTAATCATTTCATCAAATTTACTCACAAGTCGCTCTTCAGAGCAAAATGTATTTAAACCTACCCCAGGGAAATTCCAATAGACCATAACCTCTCCCTAAATAGATTAGAGACAGAAACATATTCTTAGACAAAGGAAATTTAAGCATGGATTTGCACGTCTTATTTATCATCCTTTAATGCAATCGTGCAAATATTTGACAAGATAAGCTCCCTCTTTAGTATGTCTTTATAGGTCCAAGGCCTTAATATTAGGATTTGCTATTCTTTATTAGAAGTAAGGTTCATTAAAATTTGGCAACAGGGATTATTTTGTGGATCCACCACTTTAACTATTTAGCTATCCTTAAAAACTTAATGGTTCTTTAACTGATTCTGAACCAAATCTAAAATTACTTAATCCTAAAAAGAATTTTTCTGTCAGCAAAAATGGAAATAATAATAAAAGAAAATAAATGAGATCATACTTTTCGTGTGCTAAGCATAAGAGCTTTACAGAGTAAATGTTCAATACATATTATTTAATCTTTTAAAGATATTCTTGTCATTTCTAAGTTATTATATTTATAATGAATTATTGATTCACTGAGATTTTTATTTACTTAATGTTTTAAAACATGTCCTTGAGTATATTATAATATAATTCTGTGACAGAGGTCATTGCTAGGAATAAAAATATATAATTTAAATTGCAATATGTGTTTGTACAGCTCTCTTTTAACTGGAGGGATGTAGAAACTATTTAGATGTGTTCATTCTAACTTTTATGCCCTTCATACACAATTAATATTTTCATGTAATAACTTTTTTCCCTTTATTAAATAATGCTGCTTTTTCTATGCTTTTGTTGATGCATAGATTAGGGCCATTTTATTGAAGTCTTCATCTTTCCTTTCTATAGTATTTGAGGTAGAAAAAGAAAAGAGCAACTACTAATGCACTGCTTAGTTTAAAAGATTTTGAGAAAATGTTTGCATCAGCTAAGGAATTGGTGCAAGGGAACCTACTTTTTAAGGAGGCCACTTCATAAATATCATGTGTGTTCTACTTTTCACAAAACTTCCTGTCAAATTTAAATGTTCCCATCTTTTGCTGTAATTTTTATTTTACTTTCATGTTTTGGTGTGTTATATATATTTTTTACTTAATTTCCTACAAACATTAATATATATTTGTCTGCCAAAAATAGGAACTCATAGGACTTATTTGATAAAAGCAGCCTCTTAAGCCACCTTTATTTATTTTGATTTCTATTCATTTCTCCACCATTTTCTACTGTTACTAATGCTGACATCATTTGCTCCAAAAAAAAAAATTTGTTTTATTTACAGGGCACAGCTTATGGAAGTGCTCCTGTACCTTCTCGCAGGCAATTATGTGAGTCTCTTAAATTCAGCTCTGTGTTGTAAACATGACTGTGTTCCTGTGCTGTAGCATGGCATGCTGATTGAGACCAAATGCCCAAAGGTCAATATGCAATCCCCAGTGTTGTATATTACCTATAATATGTTTGTAGTAAATGGTTCCCTTTGCCTCTTCCTTATCTGTTTGTCATTATCCAGCCCATTTAAGAAAACTGCATTGCAATGTGGCCAACTGCATTGAGACTAATGGCTCAAAGTCTGGGGCAAAGAAAGAAGTGACTCTTACTTAAGTTTATTTTCATTTAGCAACAATATTAGCACTCTCTCTCTCAACTCAGTAAGGTTTCTTAAGTTCTAACTCCTTTTACTTATTGGTTCAAAGACTTCTTATATCATGCACAGTTGTGTTTTTGCCACAGCTAATGAGAACTTTCCTAGAAAAGGAAATCCATTAAAAGAAATACTTCTTCTAGTGAATTTAAAGCAAACTTGACATTGTAACAATGTTGGTTTTTTTTCCCAAAGTCATCACATTTAGAAAATTGAAATTAATCTATAAATGTTTAGATAGAAAGCCCAGAGTTTACAACCTTGCTCAGCTGTGTTATAAATATATGCACCTCGGCAGAGTCAGATACCTGCATTTCAGTTCGGGAGATTTCTGTGACAGCTTGTCTGCTTTAACATGTACTTTTTGTCAATGAGAAATGTATATGTAAATTGAATATGTAGGCTCTCCAAAGTGCCATCAGACTTTGAGAAAGAGCTATTTTCATTGCCCATTCCATCCATGTCTTTCCTCTTTTCCCACACCAGCATCCGTCAGATAATCATGGTTGTTTACCTCCATTATAGACTGCTACAGCAAGACACCCATGTGACTCTAATTGTCATGCCTAGCAATAAATGCCAAGTAAATCCATCTTAATATGATGTTAAAGGTGATTCAAAGGTACAGTCCTGTTTGCATAATGCTTTTCTTCACTATTGGCAGAAAAAAACATATGAGTTGATGACATTCACTGAGAAGGATCCGTGAATCACTTCAACAAAAAATGCAGGACTTTCCACCATGATAAAGCTGCCCCAACAATGAACAAAAAAATATGTACTTTACTATCTCCTTTCTAATGAAAAAATTTTGAAAGTTTGGGTTCTTATGAATATAGTTGCAGCAGACAGAACTGCTAATGTGAACAGAAGATGGGGTTTAGATATATTAAAACTCCACCTAAAGTTAAATAATCTCTCAAACATCTCAAATTGTCCTTTGCTCTTATTTCTTTTCATAGGTCTCTCTATCGTCTACATTTCTAATGTACACTAAAGATATGGCTTCTTAAATATAGGCATTACGGCAGTATTAATTAATGAAAATTGAAAACCATAGCAAAAACTTCAATGGGTTTTTTTTTTTTTTTTTAAGATGTGTCTCTTTTTAAAGAAAAAAGTCCTTGTGCTATATGTTATATTTCATTGAATATAGGAAATGCTGTTATGGAGATAGAGAAGATATTTTTACTAGAGATTTGGGGAACTGTGAATTTATTATATGTGCTATGAAGCCATAAGCGGAAATATAAAGGGTATGGAATTATTATCCTTAATTTGAATTAAACTTACCTTTTGCTTTCACGAAATCAAAGTGTATTTATATGTAAATAAAAATACTGGATATTTGAGATTTTCGATCACTGGTTCCAGTTAAGTGAGTTAATCCTACTAAAAATAGAAAGAAAAACAAAAAGATGTATGATTTCTGTAAGTCTGAGGGTCTTAAGTTGCAATATTTACCAATATGTACCACGATAAAATGGATATTACCTTCCTAAATATGCTGACTTGGCACAGATAAGCATGTAAGATTCATGAATTTGGAATGCTTATTATCACATTTTCTTTTAGTCAAATGCAAATTTTAGGATCTCTGCATTACACATTAGAAGAATCTCCTTGAGTATTTGTAATTGTGGTGCTTATCAAAGTTGTTATGTAGAAGGAATGAATGCTTTTTTTCTATACACAAATGTTAGAATATTAATAGTAAACATTTTTGTTTCTCCCCTACTTCCTGTGAATACCTATCTAGAAATTTTATAGTTGGTTCTTGATTCTAGCGTGTTTGTTTTGTTTTTTTTTTCCATTTCTACCTACATCACAAGGTGTGATGAATACTTTCCTGAAGTTACAATTAAAGTTTAGTTTTTTTTTTAATTCAGTTTTAAGGACTTTGTTTTATGGTTGCCATTTTAACTATTTCAAAAATATAATCAGTCAAGAAATTTTCCTTAACAATAATTTGAAATGGAATTTAGCAACAGAGAGGGATTGCCTAGATGATGATATGATTAGAAAGGCTGTGAATCTACAATGACAGGATTCACTCTCTATCTTGGAAAGCACTGTATAGCTTTTAATTAACAGGCCCACACAAATATGCATTTATTTGTTGCTAATAATTTATCAACGTTAAATTGGAAATAGTATAGGTTTGGTTAGTATTTTCCACTTTCAGAGAAAACGCTTGATGAAGGTTCACTAAGTTGGATAATGTGGAGTCTTGGAAAGTTATTTGAATGCTACTAGTACATTTTTATTTAAATACCAAAATGATGCATCATTTATTCAGATACAGTTCTCTTCTCAATTTCCGATGGGTTTATGTTTTAAAATTGTAATCAGTATTGTTACATGAAACTCTATCATGTGTTGGTATAACCTTATCTACATGTGATATGAATGGAGATCTTTAACATTTGGATAAAATTTGGCAAAGATGTGACCCATAGATTATTGCCTCAACATTCAAAATACAAGAACTGATTTCAATTTGGTTATTGTTTTCCATTTTGTGACCATAATTACTACTTTAAGAGTTCCAAATTACAGAAGCATGTAACTCTAAAATTTAATAAACCATAAATATGTGTTCTCTAGAAAAAAATAGTAAACATCAAGTTTCGTAATGTATTCAACAATTCAAAACCAATTTGGTTAAAAAAATTAAATGTAGGTCACATGCTTTCATATTTTATAACATGGCTTCTTTATTTCTCAGTATATGAATGAAAGGAGCACCAAATGTTTGTAAGTTGTCTATTCAGGAGTAGTTACCTAATTTAGCTGAATCATTCATCAGATAGTTCAATGTTAACCCAACTGAACTGAATATACATGAAAATAATACTGCCTTGCTATTCAGAATCAGATAGCAGTTATTTTATAGCACAAATGGGACTGAAATTATATATTTAAAGTGGGGTACCTTAAAAACATACCTACCCTAATTTCCAGTCAAGTTTTTTTCCTACTAAAGAGCAATTTTTAAATTCAGAATTCATGAACACAAAAAATTCAAGAAAAAAGTCAGGAAAACAATGTATTTACTGAAAATAATACTAACCTCAAAGTCAGAAAAAATAGTTCTAATAAGTGTCTGTAAGAACAGATGTTTCTGACTAGTTTTTGTACTGTGCCTTCTGATTTATTCCCTTTTCTTTTCAATTAATCAGTTTATTTCCTGTCATTTCCCTTTTTTCTGTATCTACTGTTCCACACAATGTATTTGCATTATTTATCATTCTATTTTAGATATAGCTTTGATTTTATTTGTTTTCTTCATTCTTTGCCAGGCTTATAAACAGGATAGGACCAAGCTTCCACAGTAGTGAGGACTAACATAACTTTTCCTGTAACTGTGTTTGAAATATATCTTCAGATAATCTGTCTGGTAAGGTTGCTTCAAACCTGAGTAAACCAATGCCTACTTGACTGTGCATTCTTAGGGAACAAAAGAAAGTGCATTGTGTCTATAACTTCACATGTAAGTGCACATATGTATTTAGGATTAAAGAAGCTCTAATCTTCAGAAGGTAGGCTTCAGTCAGAGAGTGAAGAGCAGGGAAAAGTTTTAAGTGGCATGATAAAATCATCCACATACCACAGGAAGAGGCTAAGCTAATACAATAGATAGCTAGAAAGAGGGAAAGGCACAAAGGAAAAATGCAATATGTGTTATAATCCTGTGGAAGGCAAATTCTGAATATTGCCTTTCTTTTGAGACCACAGTAATGATTTTACATGTAATTGAGCTGACCATTTTTGAGCTACTAAAGAGTAAAAGTTATGCTCTGTTCTGGTAAAAGAAAAAAAATAAATGACATTTTCTTTGATATATAAACAACAGTAATTACTATTCTAGGCTATTGAGTTTATTTAGGATATATATATATATACACTCATATATATATAGGATATATATATAGGATATATATATATACACACTCATGTATATATATATACACTCGTATATATATATATACATACACACACACATATACACATACATACACATATGTACACACACACCTTCTGGTTTTAGCGTAGGATGTAGAAAGCTGTAAAGAACATTGTTCATACCCTTATAATAACAACACAAAATCTGGAGAAAATTCAAATTCACAATTTTTCTTTAACCATCAGAGAGTTAAAGTCACACGGCAACCAACTAACCTGTACATAAGTAAAGATAGATACTGACAAGGTGAGACCAGTTGTAGCAGACACAGCCAGAACATAGAATTTTGCAAAAACAACAACAACAACAAAAAGGTTAATGAATCAATGAGTCAAGTGTGAGATAGGAAGGAAATATAAATATGGTGAGAATTTGCACCTGCTTACAGGCTCTTTATAGACCTCACTGAATGCTCACATAAAAATAATAGCAAGATTCCTGAGAAGCTGTCCCTTGTGCTAAAGGCTTGAAGAAGGGAACAACAGCTACTGCAAGAAAGGCACAAAACTCTATTCTGTTGCTTCCTTCCTTTATCCATTCAAAACAAAAGCCTAAAATGCAGGGGAAAGAGCAACAACACAGTCACTCTTAGGACCCTGGTGAAAATCCATTGCAGCTAGGGGAAGGGAGCAGAAAAAGATCATTTATTCTTGGGACAGATACAAAAATACATGATGGGCCTAGAACCACAGGTGGAGGAGAGGCTGTAGTACTGAGAAGGCCACATCAGTGACAGCCAGGAACGTAGTGCCTGCTTTAAGACTTAGAGTTGATCAGAGAAAGAGAGAATGCCTCCCTTCTTGTTTTATAGACTAATAACGATTGAGTCATAAATAACAATGGGATATGACTAGGAAAGTCACAAGAGTGTGGAAAGAGATTTTCTCTGAAACACAGTGCAAAGGAGAGACCTAAAGCCAAAGGAGGGACTTACATCAGGAAAAACCCTATGACAAACCAGTCACTATTCTAAATGCAAGGTACTGTTAGAGAAAATTTAAGCTTGGGGGTAACCATAGCAACAATAACAAACCCAGCTCAACACCTGCCTTTATTGACCTAGACTCCCACACTAAAGGCTTCATAGAAGGAAAAGCATGCTCATTTCTGGGCATACAGCTGATTTATTAAAGTCTATAATGTCCTACATAAAATGTCTGCTTTCCACAGAATTTCTGGGGCATTCAGAGAAGCAAGAGAAAGCAAAGCACTGCCTAGTGATAAAAGAATCAACAGAATCAGATTCAGATATTATGAAGATATTGGAACTATTAACAAGGGGAATTAAAATAATTACAATTATTGTGTTAAATATTTTAATGGAAGAGTTTGACAGCATGAAAGAACAGATGTCTAATTACTGAGTTAGAGCTGTAAGAATGAATTGAGTGGAAATTCAATTCATTAAAAGCTCAGTAACAGAGATGAGGAATGCCTGTGATGGTCTCATCTGTAAACTCAACACAGCCAAGGAGAGAATTATGAACTTGAAGAGAGAGGTCAATAGAAATTGCCCAACTGAAACACAAAAGGAAAAAAATATGTGGTGGGATTATGGGATGGGGGAAGAACATTAAGGAGCTGTGGAAAAATATCAAGTCATCTAATTTATTTGTAATTGAAATCCCAATGGAAGAAGAGAGAAAACAATAAAGAAGAAATGTTTGAGAAAAATGGCCACAAATTTTCTAAAATAATGGCACATACCAAATTATAGATCCAAGAAGCTTAAAGAACAAACAGATAAAAAACAATAACAACAACAAAACACAATCAGGCATATTATATTCAAAATGTAGAAAATCAGACAAGAAAAAGTCTGAAGGTAATCTGAAGAGGGAGAAATACATGCTATCTACAAAGAAACAAAGACAGGATTATAGTAGACTTCTCATCAGGTACTCTGTAAGCTATGAAGTGGCATCTTTAAAGTTTTGAGAGGGATAAACTAACAAGCTAGCTACAAAACATTCTATAGTCAGTAACTATATCATCCAAAAATGGAAGGGAAATTGAAGTTTTTCTCAGACAAATAAATACTGAGAAACGTATTGCCAGCAAACCT
This sequence comes from Homo sapiens, assembly GCF_000001405.40. Classification (NCBI taxonomy): domain Eukaryota; kingdom Metazoa; phylum Chordata; class Mammalia; order Primates; family Hominidae; genus Homo; species Homo sapiens. The sequence goes on from NC_000004.12 coordinate 91,290,204, forward strand.
GCACTATGAGAAATGTTAAGGGAAGAAATTAACACTGGGAGTGGAATGAATGAAATGAAAACTTTGCTTTAAAAATATTTACATAAATATCTGTGCTATATTTATATATAATTTATGACATGTTGTGATTTAATGTGTGGCCTTATTTAAATTATATTTGCTGCTAAGATATTACCAAAATGACCATATTCCCAGTGTTTTTGTAGTTTATGCCTCTAACCTCTACAGTAGCTGTCTTGCAGACATTTCTTTTTATTTGTGTATATGTGTACATTTATCTGTCAATACAGTTTTATAATATATTAAAAGTTAATGATGAAACAGAAAATATGCACCCAGTATGGTACAGAGGAGAGGCAGGAACCAATACTGAACTATTAAAATATGAATGATCTAGTACTTCTTTTACTATCCCATACCTCTATACCTCAATGATTATAGTATGTATTTCATGTTGTTACAGTTTTGTCTTACCAAAATTAACATATTCTTTTTCTATAGAAAACATATTCAAATGTTTGAACTGTTTGAAACTCAACATTAATTTTACATTGTCATATGTGCTAACTAAACTTTTCATTACTCAAAGAACATTTGCCTATTATGAAATTATTCTAAAACAGAATAACATTTAAAGATTGAAAATTGAATAAATAAATTTAATAGATAAGACATGTTGTGGGCTAATCCTAAAACAAAATAAAAGAATGTCTTGATTTTATATTTTCCTTTTAAATAATTAATGAGCTAACTAGTAAATTAAGTTACCATTTTTAATAATTAGGAATAATCAGAATACTCTCTTAGAACTTTGACTTTTTGATTATTAAATTAGCACCTCTTATTAAAATCAATTTTTTCTTTTATATATATTATTTTATAAATATTTTACCTTTCACAGTATTAATAAATATCTGTAAGCACCCAAGACGGTGCTGGCGTTATTAAAGTGTTGGATCCTTCCTTATTAAAGCTTGCAGATAGGTAATAAGATCACTGATAACATAAATTAAAGTCAAGATTAAGGCAACATATTGAAGAAATGTATTAGTAAATATAATTTAGATTTAGCAGTTAGGGCCCATTGATATCATGGATTTTGAGGGTAAATTTAATTTGATCTGTTATTACTTTTCTAGAATGTGTAAAATGTTTCAAAGGCTCTGTATTTGTTAGTTCTCGCACTGCTACGAAGAAACACCCGAGACTGGGGAATTTATAAAGAAAAGAGGTTTAATTGGCTCATGGTTGTACAAACCGTACAGGAAGCATGATGCTAGCATCTGCTGGGCTTCTGGGGATTCCTCAGGAAACTTACAGTCACGACAGAAGCAAAGGGGGCGCACACATATCACATGGCTGGAGCAGGAGCAAGAGAGAGAAGGGAGGTGCCAAAGAGTTTTAAACAGCCAGATCTCATGAAGAACTCGCTTGCTATCACGAGAACAGCACCAAGGGGACGGTGCTAAACCATTCACTAGAAAGTGCCCCTATGATTCAGTCCCCTCCCACCAGGCCCCACCTCCAACAGTGGGGATTACAATTTGCCATGGGATTTGGCGGGGACACAGATTCAAAGCATGTGAGGCTCTGAGTAAAGAAAAGCATGAGAAATTGCCATGAGCTGACAATACATAATTGTAAATGTTCCTAGAGATTCTTGATTCCAGTCCATCCACATCACAGATAAATTATTGAAAGATTAATTGGTTTACCCAACATCCAAGACTTTGTGATAAACGCAGACTTCTAACTCATTTGTCCCATTTTTTTCTTCCAAGGTTGTTTTCTTTAATATTTCTGTTAAAGCATCATGTCCTCTTCCCCCTAAATTTGGAAAGTTTTCCTCTATCAAACTAGCAAGCGATGCCTGAGTAACTCTTGAAAGGCGAATAGAAGTTAGTTGTTGAATGTGAACAAGAGCAAGTCCAGGAGCATGTGGAAGGCCTGGCAGAACCCAGAACACAGCTTGTTTGAGGAGCTGTATGTACATGGTCCACAGAGCTAGAGAACTGGGTATTTGTACAACTGAAAGATTCCCTTGCAGTGTGTGAAAAAGACAGTGTCTGTTATAAATCAAACAAAATTCATGAATATTGCTGTTATTTCTCTTGTTTGAATAAGCTTTGTATCATTTTAAGGCAAAAGACACTGAATTTTTATTAAAATTCAGGGTTCTGTTTTTTTTAAGTTGTCCAAAATTATGTTCAAATAATTTGAACTTAATTATGCTTACGCTAGATTACTCAGACAACCCAAAATAAGCTATTTTAAGTCCATTCTTCAATTTGTTTGTGAAATGAGGTAAATATTACTTATGATCTAATCTTTATATCAAATAATTAGATATAATTGGAAATAAATATAGATAATTTTTGTTTTGTTTTGCTTTGCTTCTTAAAGAACAAGCAGATCAGGGACTTCAACTCATTGCAGAAGTCTGATATGAATGGCAAGCCCTTAAATTGTAGCTGTATTAGGCCTCAATGTATTACAATATGTAAAGAAAGAAGGCATCCATCAGAAGTGGAGCATTTAAGAATCATTAAAACAGAGCAAAAATAAATTTTAAAAAAGTCAGGAGGTGAATCATTTTTATTTATTGTGGAAATGAAGGTATTGGTTAACTGAGCTCAATGCTTGAGTATCCACTTGTCTATACTATTCCATGCTCCATATGTACCCCTCTCATTATGATCTGTTATCTCCTCTCCCATATGACATCTACAGAGAGAATATAAGGCTGGGACCTGGGACCCTTAAGTATACGGTTCCTTCAGCAGTGACAATTCAGATTAGAAACTGATAAATTAACATTGAATTTTAGACATCTTTCACATGAACTTGTTTAGATAAGCCTGTCTATAAAAAATAATTTGCCTGTTTTTAAATTTGAAAAGAATAAATGTAAAATCTGGAGACAAAAAAAATGCACTGAGATCAGATTTCATGGGAGACCCTCACAGGAACATTCCTTAGAGTTCCTTTCCCACTCAGCACCATCCACTACAACCCTTGTTGTACCGGCCAACTGTCATTTAGAATCACGTGTACATATATAAATAGATCTTTTATTTTCTTAATGTCTGTCGTTTGGGTATTTATAGCATTTGGAAACTCGGTACACATAGATGTACAGCAACCACTTAATTGAGGGTCTTTTGTTATTATCAATGTTGTAAAATTTAACTTGAACAGATTAAGGTAAGTCCTTCTATTAAGAGTCTTTTTCTAATGTATTATTTTTATGCATAAAATGTAAATTAGTACACCAAATGAATAACATGTTATTTGTTTACCACTGCTTTTGTTTCAATTGACATGGGAAAGGAAAATAAATCATCCCTTATAAGTAAATATGCATTGAACATTGAGGTTATTCTATAAAAACTTGTTGGTGAGAATGCATTCAATGCACGTTTTGAAGTAGTTCTACATTTTATTCTGTATGTCTTTTTAAAATTTTGTTTTCTGCAAGATGTTGTTTAAGTTAGAAAGTGGGATCTATGGTGATTTTTTTTTAACTTTTATTTATTATAAACCAGAGAATGAGTTTCTTTGTTCTCATGTCAAGGAATAGCCAAAAGAGGCAAAACATTAAAAAGAATAGCAAAAGATATTATGTGGTCAGGCTGTCAAGTTTAAAAGCCTTTAAAAATTACATTATATTTGTTTGATCTGCAAAAATTTAAGGCTATAATTGCTTTTCAAGTTATGTACTCTGAAAGCTTTCCTCTGGCCTTTCAGGAGTTAAGAGCTTAGAGTCTTCCTTTTCATCCTCCCCAGCCCTCTTTTTTTTTATTCCTTCATTCTACATTTCATGTTGAGGTCGCTCATTTATTGTGGGTAGCTGTAATGGAATGGTCAAGAAGTCAAGCATTCAGGGAAGAAAATGAAAATTGTGTGTCTGACTTCTTGATATTACAAGTAATTTAAATTTCTTAAAGAAACTATAGTTCCTTAATAATATTTGCTGCATTTAGTTGAATTTTTATGATACTCATTTCTAAATCATCAGCAATATAGAAATATATGTGAAAATTTCCTTTTAATGGGTTATAGTTTGTGCAAACTTGTACAAATTATATGTGTACACCTTACTAACAGAAGCATGTTTTGGACAAGATCATTTGGGAAATTCTAGTGGAGACTTAATACGTTATTTAATCTTCCTGATAGATCCGAAAAGTGAAACCTTGTCCCATTTTAAAATAATATGTCGAACTCTCTTATTGACTATCTGCTTGTCTTAGTTTCCTAGGCCTGCCTAACAAGTTACCACAAACTCAGTGGCTTAAAACAACACAAATACATTCTCTTCTGGAGGCCTGAAATGCAAAATCAGGATGGCAACAGGGTTTGTTCCTTCTGGAGGTTTGAAGGAGAGTCTGTTTTGAGCCCATCTGTTAGCTCTAGAGGCTGTCAGGGGTTCCTGATGTTTCTTGGCTTGTGAACACTACTCTAGTCTCTCCCCCTGTTTCCGCATGGCTCTTCCTGTGTATACCTCCAACTTCCCTTGTTTTTAATTTCATAAACTCATTGGATTTAGGATTCATCCAAGATAATCTCATCTTATCTAAACATCCTTAGCCTAATTACATTGTACAGATCCTATTTTCAAATGAGTCCAACTAAGGTATCAAGGGCTCCAAGTTGTACATATATTTTGGGAGTGTGTATTCAGCATGCTACAGACAGAGTACAATGCCAGAGTCAGAATTCAAATTTCTTTTCCTGACTTTATTGCACAAATTATTTTCATTGTTCTACTCCAACTCAATAACAACAAATATGGTTCAGGTATCATATTAGGTAGAAGACGATACTCTTAACAAGATGACTAAAACACAGTTCTTGCCTTAGGTGCTTGCTTACACAGTAGTGGAATATGGCAAACCCTTTAATTTCCAAAAAGCTAGCAATGTTATCTCAATATAATGACAGTGAGAAAATATGATTTAAGCTATCTAATGAAATATATGACCAATACTACCTTTTTGGTTAGAGATTTTTCTGTATTGTTTATAATTTTGAAAATGGCAAAATGAAATAATTCAAGTAAATGCAGTGGATCTTAGTTTTTATAGGATATAAATAGAATTACAAATTTCTTCTTGTATCAGAAAGTGAGATAGACAAAATATACAAGAAATTAATTTTTAAAGAAATACAGTATTGTTTGTAAAGAGGCAAAATTTTTACTACAGTTAGTCTCCAAAAATACCATAAAGATTTTGAGTACAAAATTTATTAGAAAGTAAGTCTGTTATCTAAATGGTTATATATTTTTTTCTGAAGAAACGTTAATATTTAATTACTGAAATATGGGAAAGTAAATATTTTGAAAAATTAAAATATCAATTTTATTATTTTACAAAGATCATGAACAATTATTTTAGAAAACATAGAAATCTGAGAGTTATAAAGATGTATTTATATTCATGCATATGTGATATTGCATAATGCATACAAAGAGAAACCTCTAGGTTTGTTTGTTCTGGTTGTTGCTCTTTTTGTCATTATTCTAGAGAAGAGTGGCTCATGATGATAGCACATCACAGTTTTCCTATTTGCTCTTTGGTGTTACGCATCATACCATGAATCAGCCTCCTGTGTTTTTATGTATGTCTCAGTAATTTGATATAAATAGCTGTTTTAAAAGCCATTTGAGTATATTTTGTATTAGGATATTTTATGCAGAAAAAAATACAAATTAAAACAAAAAATCTTTAACCTAGGGACTTTATAGTAACTAAATAAAGATGTATGCCTTCTATAAGTATAGCGGTCTATCAAAGTATTTCCATGATAATGTGGCTTTTTGAAATGAAATATTGAAGTCATTCCTCAAAATCTTAATTTGAAATCAGATTTGAAGTCACACAAATTTTCAGGTAGTTTGTCTCAAGTCTGAGTGTATAATGCCTTTCTAAAACAAAGTAATCATAAGTGAAGTGTATACAAAGTACAAATGGTTTTGGGTAACTAAGATTAACAAAGAATGTGGCTTAAGTTTCTGGCAGCCAAAAAAAGAGAAAGCTCATTTTATTAGAAAAAGCTTTCTAAGTTTTTCCATAGAACACCACTCCCTTAGAAACATAACCTTAAAGGGAGGGAGAAGAAGTTAGAATCAAATCACTTTGGGGAATCCCATATACTATAATTTTTCCCTCCTAGAGACTTACAGTGTATAAAAGCATAGTAAAGTCTTCATATTTTTCTGGTGTAAACAGAAGTGTCTAACATTATATATATATATATATGTATATATATATATATATATTTTAATTAAATATACAGTTATCTGTATAATTATAGATATAGATATAAAAATAACAATATAACTATAGATGCTTTATATGTTAATATATAGTTAACATATAGTTATGTGTATAATAGTTGAATATATAGGTATATATAGTTGTGTGTATATATATAAGTATGTAAGATAAATATATATGTACTTCTTCCCAAATAGTATCATCTCTTTTATTTTAAGAACTTTAAATACTATCCCAGACAATTTCAATTCAATGTATTCTATACATTGTAAATCACTGACAAGGTTAGAGGGAATTTATTACCAGACTGGGATTTTTTAAAATCTACCAAAAACCACAAATAATGACACAGTATGCAAGTTTATTTACTGCACCCATCTTTTTTACTTAGCACAGTTTTTAAAAAGGAATTTTTATCTGGTTTCTTTTTCAAATTATAATGAATATTATATTTTTTAAAAAATACATCAAAATGTTGTGAAGATTTTGGGTTAAAAAAAAACAGGACAAGATATTGCCAGCAATCCTTAAAGAGGACTAGTGGTTGCTATAGAGATGAGTGTATCCCAGGCAGAAGACAAAATTAAGCAAAGAATGTAAAGGAATGTTCAGGGTTAAATGAGGCTTGGAAAGTAAGTTTTGGTTAGGCAGTGAAGAGTCTTGGCTAAAGAGTGTATATCCTCTGAGAAATTTCTTAGCATTTCATTTTACCTTTTTCTTCTCCTCTCTTTTAATAAACTTATGTTATGTTTGTAAAAAAGACAGATACATTTTAAAAACAGGCTGCAGAAACAGCAAGAGCAGGATAGCAGTAAACAGTTTCCCCAAAGAAAAAAGTAAAAAGCCAAGAATGTTCTGCTCACCTGAGGAGAATGGATGCTTGTGTGTGTGTGTGTGTGTATGTGTGTGTGTGTGTGTGTGTGTGTGTGTGTGTGTGTGTTAGGGAGACAGATGTGGATAAGGAGGGAGAAAAAATCTTCTAGTATGATGAGAGTAGGTGAGATAATTGTATATGAAGTAAAAGATTTAGATTTCTGAGTTTAATATTTTGTAGAATAAGCAATTTCAGACAATGACAGGATCCAGGTTGCACCCATGGGCATGGAAGACTGAATGAAGTAGGGCCAAAAGTCACACAAGGGAAAAGTTCAAGGTTAGACTGGAAAATAGGAGGTAAAATCACCTAGATGACAGCAGGAATTGCCAAAGGATAGAAAACTTTTGATCATGTGGTGAAATTCTCAATAGAAATAAGGACAGTATGTAAGCAGACAGCCAACCAACAAATGAAAAAAGGAAAATACCATGTATAAAGGAAAAACCATTTTAAAGGAGAATTGGGGTACTTGAGGAAAAGTGGTAAAAACAGTATTTTTTGAATAAGCAGTTTGTAGCCACAATGATGTTAAATCTAGAGCCTGACCTTGAAAGACGTGCATGAGAATTGCATGGATGTGGATAAAATAGATAAAAATTTGTTCACTTAATTAGGAAACTCAAGGAATTCACAAAGCATAATAATAGGTAGTGTTAAGAAGGAAAAAATCCTACATGGAGAAGCATAAGTAGGGAACTGATGAATTTGATGTTGAATGAAAATGGCTGGGATGACAAATAATAAAGAGTTTTACTATTAACTGTGATTATGAGATACAGTAAAGGGGCTATCAAGTAGAAATAAGTATTAGAAAAGTGGATCAGTCAGATTTCCGTGCAAGTATTAGATACTACTTAAATTGGAAATTACAAAATTGTTGGAAGTGCTGCTGAATTGGAAATCAGGACACCTGTCATTGTTCATTCTTGCCACCACAGGCAAGATGCAGTTGCTGGAAGCTGCAGAAAACCACTGTGAACATCACAGCTGCCCAGAGCTCAAATGACCACATAGCAGAATATGATGCCGTATGTGGGAGCCTATGTGTCAGCCACCATTCCTGCTAAAGGAGGCCTGCCCTTGGCCTTTTGCCTTCCTTTTACCTTCAAAATTTTATTTCATCCTTGGCAGAGTCTAAAACACATGCTGTACTCTGATGGCAAGGGAAAATGGTGAATGTGGTTTCCAGGATTCAGGCCAATTCAAAAAAGCACTTAGAACATACAAGAGCGTGGGAATGGAGACTAACTAAGAAGGGCAAAATATTTATGAAAGTAAGAGTAAAAATATCATAGGAAAAAAACCTTCTTTACAGTTTTAAGTTAAACTTTGGCAAGTTCTTTTGTTGAGCATGGAGGCATCCTGGCCTGTAAGACTACAATATGTAGTCCTAATATACAGAACCAAATAAACAGAGAGATCACAGACAAACTTAATGCTCTCACATATTACCAGCTTTTACAAAATCCTCCACAAGTGCTGGGTAATAGCTGACTACATAGTTCCCAAAACCCAAAAGGGGGAAAATCAACCATATGTTTTAGCACAGTGGTTCTCTAAGTGTGGTGTCTAGACGAGCAGCAGCACCAGCAGCAGCAGCATCTGTGAACTGGTGAGAAAGGCAAATACTTTGGACCTCTACCCAGACCTACTAAATAAAAAATGTTGTGGGTGGGGTTCTGCATTCTATGTTTAACAGGCTATGTTAAACATTCTATGTTTATACATGCTAGAGTTTGTGAACCACTGCTTTAAATAAAAGAACAGTGGTTATAGGCATATATTAAAATATTAAATATTATGGTAAAATTTAAGCTCCATAATGCCCTTTTAAGAGTGAGGCAGACACAAATTTGATGAGATTACACTGAATTAAAGCATACTTGTTTTTCTTAATATGCTACATTTGTGAGGTACAAATGGTATATCTGTGGATTTTTAAGTTAAACTGTCTTTTAAAAAAATGCAAACATTATCTCACTTGAGAAATTATTGTTTGACTTCATTTACTAAAGGCCCAACTATACCTTTTTGGTAGTCAAAATAATAATAGCCGACATTCATCTAGTACTTGCAATATGTCAAGGACTTATCTGTGCATCATACTTACACTAATTTATTTAGTACTTACCTATGGGATAGTTGTCAGTATTATTATCATCCCCTTTTTTTGCAGATGAAAAAGTAGAGGTAGTGACAACTGAGATTTCAAAGCTAACTAGTTTGATTCCAGTCTTTTATTTGGTACCAGCCATACAGCGTAAATAAGAAAATAGTACTACAAGGATATTTCCATACTCTATGCATCTTTCTAACAAATAAAAACTGATTTTTTATATGCATGTGCAAAATTGACAAATGGTACCTTTCTGTAAAAGTCACAATAAAAAATTTTAGCAGGGACTTTTTCTACCTGAAAGTTTTTTTTTTTTTTAAATACATATATTAGTCCTCATAATGTTGTTAAATGCTGTTACTAAGTTAAAATTGGCTTTAAAATCATACTGCCATAAATAATTTTTGCTTTAAATGAACGACTTGCTACTCTGATATCTAATTTCTAGTGGAAGACACCGTGCGAGAAGTAAAAGAGAAACACACACAAAAAAACAAAACATTGCCAAGTTAGCAGCTCGGAATTATGTTTTACCTTAGTGTGGCTTCCACCTCTTTTGAAGTAATGGGCCATTTTGTTGCCTTGACTTTGGAGTACTTTTCAGACTCAGGAAGTCAATAATCCTTTTGGAAGAGAGAATTAATGAGTCTTTCAGTGTAACCAATTTCAGGGATATCAGGGAGGCCTGTTATAAAATTATTACAAGCAATATTTATATGATCACATATATGAACTATAATTATTTGCAATTTTATGTTTCTGTTATCTGCTGTGGGAACAGCTTTTTGATAATGGGAATTTTATAAAAATGGTTTATTAAAATGTCTAGTTTTGGTATCTACTCATTATTTTAGATGAATTACAACTCTGAATAAGACTCGAAGGCACCATTTCTTAGTGCCAAGGAAATAAAAGTAATGTGTGTTCATGGCAGTGAAAATGAAGCCACTATCAGTACTGTTAGGGAAATATATAAAAGAGTTAATTGCTTTCAGAGGCTGAGACATATGCCTCAGGTAGATACTAATTTAATGTTCTTCCTTAAAATATAGTCAATTATTCAAACACAACAACTAAATTACTCCAATATTTTAAAAATGATTTCCACCAGTCCATATTTGGAGGGATACTATTTAAAAATACATTTTATTTCATATATCACCAAGAAAGGTGATATTTTTAGGATACTTCTGAAAGATTTTAACTAAGTACTGCTGGCAACTGAAAAAAAATGGGAGAAGTTATAATTGGTGTTAAGAAGTAAAGTTGATTATTATGAGAAATGTTTATCGCCAAAGAGAATTTTCAAAATTATATAACATGAATGATATATGATATATTTGATAACTAGGTTAGCATTAAGCCTCTTTGATTCAAACTGTGTTCCAACCAGTGTTTCAGATACATTCCAGAAGTTTACTTTTACCTTTGATTGTAAAGGTAGTTTTTAAAGGGTGAGTCATTAGGGAGGTTTTTAAAAATATACAGTTGCTACTCACTTTATCCTAAAAGGAAAGGAAGATTAAATTTAGCTGAGAGGAAATACTTTTACATTATATTCTCAGTAATACTAGGGCAAGATGGCTTTGCGTGGCATTTGTACATTATGCATACATAATATGCACAATTTACAGATGGGTATTGATAAATATACTATTACTGGATAATGAAATGAAAAGTAAAAGTTATGCAGAGTATGGGAGAAGGTCATAATTGTCTGATTACCACACAGTTGCATGGGTTCTTTATAGATATTCTCCTTTTATATAAACAGTATGTGTATTTTAATTAATACATTGTCTACTGAAATAATAGAAAATCTACCTTTACTTCTGAATTTATAATCATAACTCAGCTTTAAAACAATTGCAATATTAAAAAGGAGAATTAATACATGGATTATCTACTATAACATGACTGTCATATATTCCAAGTGGAAAAAAATGTGTTCACCTAATAAGCATTTTGATGCTGAGTTTATACAAAGTAAATTGTTTCTCATTATAGGTGTGTTTAGGTGGAGTCATTATTTGCCTCTCTGTCTATGTATATATAAAATATAGTATATATATATATATATGTACAAAATAGAACAGAGGGATATATTAAGTAAGAACTTTGTGCTCCCTTGTGGTTTAACAACTGATATGTTTTTCTCTATGCAAACCTATGTCCTTTAATGGCAGTTATCTTCACTTTTCGGGTTGCTACTTTTTAGAGAAAGTCACATTCACCAATGGATAAGAATCATTTTAAAACAAAGCACCAAGGTTTAGATCGTAGCACATCCACCACCACAACAAAAAGAAATAGAAAGTAAATTAAGCCACCAACAATGATGAGGCAAACAGGGCTCTGTGAATGGTGAAAATCAATGAGGTCAAAATGGACCACTTTCTTCTCATTGATTTTTCTCTTTTGCTTGTTTCTTGGAGCTGGATTCAATTACTCAGTTACTCTATGTCCTTCCTTCCTTTCTTCTTTCCTTCTTTCCTTCCTTCCTTCCTTCGTTTATTTCCTTTTTCCCTTGTTTATTTCTTTCTTAAATGGTGCTCTGACACATATTGCTTAATAATAACTCAGTTCCAACAAAGGACAATAATGTCCCTGTGAAAATCAAATTTGAATCACCAGTACTGACCTCTTCCCAAACTCTAGGCATATATTGAACTGCCACACTGATATCTTCATTTGCATTTAGATGCAATCATCTAAAATGCATGGTGGTCAAAATAAAATCCTCACTTCTGACCTTTGAATATATTCCTCTGCATGGTTTGCCTTGGTAAATAGCTACCTGTTTTCACGCCAAGAGATCTAGGAAAACTCTCTGGTTCCTCTTTTTCTCTTCACTGCAACGTTGTTTTAAGCAGCAAATCTTGTTAGCTCTACTTTCAAAAGACATTCTCAGTCCTTCCACTTCTGTTTATTTCTACTGCATCTACTTTCATCCAAGGCAAAACCATTTTTTTTCTATAATCACTTCTTGACTGATCATCTATTTTTGACTCTTGGTTTCCTCCAGATCAAATCTTCACAGGACAGGGGCATTATATTTTTAAAACATAAATCAGATCAGATAAGCCTTCTACATAAACTCTCTCTATTTGAAATTCTCCTATGGCTTATTTATTGTGATATAAATCCAAACTTCTCACCATGGCTTAAAAGGCCTTATTATTCTAGTGTGGCCTTTATTACTTCTCTGACTTCCAGCCACTTTCCCTTTTCTCTGCCATCACATCCTTCCACACTAGACTGATTCCTAAACTTTCTTATCCCTTAAAACTTTATATCTGCTATTCTCTATGCCTGTAATTTTTTTCCCCTAGATCTTTTTTTTTTTTGTCATTTGTAAATCGGTGCAAATTTTATAGTTTATTTTTTCACAGCATTTATCAATATCTGAAATTATGTTATTAAATTATCTAATTTTTGACGTTTTGCCCTAACTAGGGTATAAACTCAATGACAACAAGGACTTTTTCTGGTTTACTCATCACCGTATATTCAATGCCACAAGAGTGTCTAGCACTTAGCAATCACTCAGTAATGACCACTTGAATAAATAGCCATAAATTTATCAATAAAAAAGTTTGAAGTAAGTACTGTCAGTCATGCCAGATGTTGTGGGAGGACATAAAATGATCCCAGTAGTCTAGTTCATGTTAAGAATGATGCCCAGTCACCTGATGCATGACAAGATACAAGTGATTTATTAGGGACTTTCAAAATGCCTACCTGAAAGCAGTCTTATGAAGTTAAATTGATAAGTTCAGTCATTGCTATTGCCTCAGGGATACATGATGGTGGGTGTTAAGCCAATCTTATATTAAAGAATTTTCTAAAAAATCCATGTCACAGCCACAAAGAGCCTAAGGAAACCTGACAAGTAAATGTAATGTAGTATTTTGGATGGAATACTGGAACATAGGCAAAAAGTAAGGAAATCTAAATAAATTATGAACTTTAGTTACTAGTAATGAATCAATGTTGGTTCCTTACTTCTAAAAATTGTACCATATAGGCCAGGCACAGTTGTTCACACTTGTAATCCCAGCACTTTGGGAGGCTGAAGTGGGAGGATCACTTGAGTCCAGGAGTTCAAGACCGGCCTTGGCAACATAGCAAGACCCCATCTCTACAAAAAGAATAATAATAATAATAATTAGCTAGGTGCAGTGGTGCATGCCTGTAATCCAGGTTACTGGAGATGCTGAGGTGGGAGGATCACCTGAGTCTGGGAGGTCAAGGTTGCAGTGAGCTGTGATCCTGCCACTGCGCTCCAACCTGGACAATGGACTGAGATCCTGTCTCCAAAAACAAACAAACAACAACAACAAAACAACAAAACTAAAACTAACTACCCAGGATAAAATAAAAATTGTATCATGTAAATATAAACAGTTAATAAGGGAAACTGTGGAGCAGGGTGGGAGGATATATAGAGTCTAATACAGATCTGAAAATATAGTCTGTTAATTAAATAATATATATTATTCACACATTTGTTGAGAAAAGCCTTAAGGGAAAGAAAAAATGTTCCCTTATAAATATTGTGGTAGCACCCTTCCTGAGTCAATTGCATTCTATATTAAACCATCTTTTGCTATTTTAACTGAAGGAAAAATTTACTAGTGATCTTGCCGACTAAATTGCATATTTCAAAATCCTTAATGTTCTAAAAAACTTTTATTGATGGCAACTCTCTGGAAATAGTGAATTAAAATGAAATTCAAAATTTTATTGAAAGCTAGTTGATTAAATAGAACTGTTTAAAAGATAACAAAACCACAAAAAAATCTATAATTTTAGTATTATGTTTATTTACATTTAAAGGAAAGGTTTAATTTGGTAAATATTAGGTTTAATAAGAATGCAAGGCAATTGCCTTAAATTTTCCTTTCTATTGAGTTATTTTTTGATACATTAGTTAACTTTGTCAGGCTAATTTAAATTATCTGCCATAATATGCATGTCTATAGTCTGTGAGGTTTATCCCTTGACTCATCATTTTATACACTGAGATCATCAAAAATATCTTACCTTAGCGACCCAATATTAGTTCCAGGACTTAGTAATCTACTTTAATTTGCACATTTTCACACATCACATACGTTCCTCTTTTATAATGGAGGGCAGCCAGAATTTAATTAGATCGCAGAGTTCACACCACAGGATATACTGTCCTTTAATTAGTAGCATATATTGTTTCAGATGCTTACTTGGACACACTGTTAACACTATGAATGAATCACAATACAATCCCCGAATGTTAATGGAAACATATGTATTTATTATTTTATTGTTTTCATTTATAAAACTACGTATGCCTTCTAAGTGATTAGGGAGATATTAAAAGAATGTTACTTAAATTAAATATCTTCTAGAACTAATACTAAAGTAGAAAATTCAATTATATGGTGAATCATATGTTTTTCTTATTTCCGTAGAAAGCAGGGCAAAATTTTCTCACCCTCTTCCTTTTAAACTAGATTATTTTTCTTTGTCACAGCCAGGCATCATGCTTGATTTACCTTTAATGCTATATAAAACATCTGAAACCTCAAACACATAGGAATAATTTGAATCTTTTCATTCTCCCTAAGAAAAAATTAACAGACAGCTCATATGATTTCTATCTCAGTGTATGTCTTATTTTTCATGATCAAATTACTTCTTTTCAAGTTATTAGATTGTTTATAGAATCATTCAAAAGTTTGTTTTTACTTGTAAAAAAGGCTATCACAATTTAACATTTCATTCATTTTATAAAATGCAAAAAAAAGAATTTTACAATTGAAGCCCCTGAACATTCCTGTAACCAAAATAAAATGACTATAACAGTAAATGGGATCCATTTGGTATGCAAAATATTTGTAGAAAAGTTCAAAAGCCATTATTTGCAATTGTAAGGTGCAGAAATTTTTTTTATAAAATATGTATCTTTGCATGTCTCAACTTGGAATTAATTGTAAAGCATGAAAACACAAATAACTTGAGACAACATTACATAGGAAAGGCTATAAAATGTAATCAATATTTTGGACATTGTGTAAAATACTTCCCACACTGTAATTAATGATTGATTCATACATTTCATTTATTTTTGGTCTTCTGCTCATAAATTATTTGAAAGTAGACCAATTGAATTATTTTCTGTTTTTGTCAGTGTGTATGTATGTGTGTGTGTGTGTGTGCATGTGTGTATTAGTCTGTTCTCATGCTGCTAATAAATACCTACCCAAGAGTGGGTAATTTATAAAGAAAAAGAGGTTCAATGGACTCATAGTTCCACATGACTGGGGAGGCCTCACAATCATGGCAGAAGGCGAAGGAGGAGCAAGGCGCCTCTTACACGGCAGCAGGCAGAAGAGCGTGTTCAGGGGAACTGCCATTTATAAAACCGTCAGATCTTGTGAGACCCCCCCTCACTATCACGAGAACAGCATGGGAGAACATGCCCCCATGATTCAGTTATCTCCCACCAGGTCCCTCTCATAACACATGGGAATTATGGGAGCTACAATTCAAGATGAGATTTGTTTGGGTGGGGACACAACCAAACCATATCAGTGTGTTTGTGTGTGTGTGTGTGTGTGTGTGTGTGTGTGTGTGTATACGAAAAAAATCCATAACAGAAATTTTTTTCATGAACATCATTGCCAACCTTTCATATATGATTACTTTTTCTTTTCTTTGTTTCATAGAGAAGTCAAATTTAAGAGTTATCAGCTACATTAATACTTCCTTCCAGAGTAGTAGGAAAAGGTGAAGGCATGAGAAGAAAAAATCCTCATATGTTTATTTGTTTCAAATGCTTGGATCATATTTGAAGACTTAAATTGCTTTAGCTTTTTGTTTTGGTTTGCTTTGGCTTTCTCTAAAACAGATTCTTCTTCTGAAAAAAATATAAAGAATTAGTACATTCTGCTTGTTTTTAAGCATTTGCTTTTTGAAAGCATAAGAAAGTAAATAGCAAATGTTTTCCTCAGTGATTCTTTTTAAACCTCTATACTTGTCAGCTTCCCTTTTACTAGCATATACCAATAGTAAAAGTGTCATCTGTAAGCAGAAGCTCCTCATCTTAATACCTAAACACGTTAATTCTTTATTCATGAGTATATTCTTTAAGGAAGTCTGAAACTTGGTTCATTCAAAGCTGGAAAGAAAAAAATCAAGATGATTGTCTAATTCTAAAATATTTGTCAACATTTTACTATATTTCAATGTTTTAGAAATATTTTAATGTTCCACTGTTCTCACAATGAAGTGTAAGCATGCCATTTTCCAAGTAACAGAGATACAAATTGACCACAGCTATTAATTTAGGTTAACTGTTAAATCAACTTTTACAAAACTTTTAGTTAGGCAAGTCATTTTATTCCTTTTGTTTTTTTTCTGCTGCACTCTGAGGAAGGTGTCTGACTTTTTATTAAAGGCACATAATGACTGAGATGCTGGTGTCATCTAAAGAACATTCAGATAATTTGTAATAGTAATTAGAAGAGACTACAATTATTCTTGGTTGAAATACTTTAGGGCTAAAGATTTTTCTTTAGGGTATGATGTTTTATAAGATATCAAAATTTCATTCTTAAGTATCACAACAATCTATGATTTTTCAAATGAACATGATTTTAGGTACCCAATGATTTTTGAAAGAGTTGTGGTTATATCCATTATGTATTAACTCTTAATAAAATATTTCTGTGTTTTCATAGAATATATCCCCATATAACCTCTCTGTGTAGTAATTTTTCATGAAGAAAAGTTATGAAACAATAAAAAAAAGGATTCTGAACAGATCTAATATATAACTGTCTTTGTAATCCTCTCTAGTCTTATCTTGCTATTTCCTTTCAAGAACTTTTTCTATGATGCTTTTTTTTCTTTAGTCCCTAGAGAATTATTTTCTAACTCATTATTTGAGTTTTTTAGCCCAATATCATTATACTATTAAATTTTAAGCAAATTGTTACAGCTGTAAGCAAATTTTTACAACTGTAAGCAAATTGTAAGCAAGTTTATTTTCCCTGCAACTTGGTATACTTATACCATGGCTGACGTTTTTTCAGATGAAACATTTTGCCAAGCAGGTTATATGTTGTGGTAAAAGAATGGCACAACTTACAATGAGTAAGAAGAAAGTGAAACAATCTTGTGTCTACTGGAACCTGAAAGACCTTTTCCTTGAGAGAATAGAAAAGAACAGTTCCTTGCTGAAGGGAAACAAAGAAAACAGTATAACTGCTTAAATAGAAACCATAAGAAGTTCTTTTGGTACAATATCATTTGAATTGTAATTGTTGCTGACTTTAGTATTGTTCTGAACTTTAAATTCATCAAGAGTGCTATTAAAAATATTGGTCATTTATACCCGTTTTAATGGGTCCATGAAGCAATGATATGCTATAATGCTTTCTGTCTTTAAATGGCCCATTAGAGTACACTGTAATCTTATGTTTTCCTCATGATCTGAGAGCTACGAAATGCTTTAGCCAAGGATATTTTATGCATCTGGGTGTTAAACACTCTACTTGTAGATATTAGTTCCCTTCACTGCTAAAATTTTGGAAAATAATCATCCCACCCCAAATCTAAGTTTATTTTATTCTTATTTCCAAAAAGGCATCTTCTTTGGATGGGTATGCACACATTTGAAAGTGTAGATGAACGCAAAGAGATTTTATACCACTGCACTGTTCATGTCCTGTATGGCTTGCTGTTTACTGAACTGTGGCCTCTTCATTTATATTTTGGTGAGTGTTTCATCTCATAATGATTGATAAAATATTTACAAGTGACAGGGCTGACTCTTCCCTGAAGGCACAAAGAAAAAGAGTATTATGCTAGACATTAAAATGTTTAGGTACCTGGATGTACTTTGAAGGAAATGTTCCATAAGTGGAAGCGTTTGGTGTTATAATGGACCTCATAAACAAATCACTAGGTAGGAGAGATTTACAAACATTTTTAAGGACATTGTCAGCAAGCGGTGTTGTCTGGGCCTACTAGGAACTCAGGACACAGAAAGTAGAAGAATCTTTGCTAAAGAACAATGCCTGTTATGCCACATATTTTCATAGAGGCTATCCTTTAACAACTTATTTGCTCAGTGCATTCTCAGTTCTGAAAAATGTATCCTTGCTGTTGCACTAGCATGCACATATTTGGAAGTGTACATAAACAAAAAGTTTGGGAATTACTGGCCCAGGACATTCAAATCATCATTAGCCTATTTTTTCAAAGAATGTTAATCAACCATTTAGTGGAATGTAGTCAACAGTAATGTATTGCCAAGTTAATGACACCAAAAATATAAGGGAAATATTTGGGAGCCCTAGATTTTTTTTAACACAGGAGCAACCAAATAAATGTATAAAACATAATTTGTAATTTTCTATGACTAGAAATGAATTAAGTTTACTTCTTAATAAAATGGAAAACAATTGAAATTATTTGAATATGGTCAAAAAGTGGTTACTTTTTAGGCTACTGGCCTAAACCCTATGGGAAAGTGAGCTGCCTACCTTTTTTAAGGACACTTTTTGTAGTTGTTCTCATTTTCATGCTGAGTTCTTTCCCTTGCATATTATTCTAAAGTATTTTCTCCTCCTCTTTTTTAAAAATAGCAACATATTTTCAAATACAAAAAGTGAGTATTTTAAATCTTGTCCGTCCTTTTTAGATGATTACTCTATTCTAATTTTACAACCACCTGTCCAGACATTGGAGCACATGCAGATACCTCATTGGCTTACTATTCTTTTCCTTCTAATGGCAAGGCTGATATTTGTTAATACAGCTATTTAAAATAAAACCACCAACAACAAATTCTTCAAGGAGGCCACTGATGATTCTGTAAAAATGTATGTGTGTGTGTGTTTGTGTGCATGTGCACGCACGTGCTCACATGAATGAGCTCAAGTGGGTTCCTAGACAGATTTCATTAAATAGAAAGAAAGAGAGAAACATACAATCCGTTTGCTAGTATACTGATGTTTGCAGAAAACCCTTATCAAAATTTAATGACCCTAAAGGTGGTTATCGATTTTCCTTTTTCTTCAGACAATATTTCATTTGTGATATTGACTTGCCACAAATGAATGTTTGCTTAAGACAGTGTTACATGTTATAGAGCAATACTACATAAAAGGCTTGCAGCTCTTGTACTCTACAAGGAACAACCAAGGCACTCGTAGATAGCAATGGAATGTAAAACCAAAGCCAACCTGTCTTTTTCATTCTTTTCATGTATATATAGGAATATATAAGAATTTAATTTTTTCCTTAGGTTTATGAGGAATATCTTGCCAATGTGAATCTGGATTTGGAAGAATGATACGTTAGTGTATTAGTTTCCCAGGCCTGCCATAACAGAGGGCCACAAACTGGGTGGCTTAACCAACAGCAATTTATTGTCTCAGATTTCTGAAGGCTAGAGGTCCAAGATCAAGGTATTGGCAGGGCCTTCCTGCCTCTGAAGGCTCTAGGGAATGATATATTCCAGGCCTCTCTCTTAACATCTCATAGTTACTTTGGCATGTGGCAGCAATTCCAATCCTCACAATCTCCTTATGTGGTTGTCTCTCTCCAAATTTACCTTTTTAATAAAAACACTAGTCATATTAGAGCCCACCTGCTAAAGCTTAGAGTGGAAGCTTAGCTAGTTTTAGACACTCTTATGCCACATCCCGTGTTCTGCATTCCATGATTGTGGCTTGAGTCCTTTTAATTGCAACATTGGCCTGATTGGCTGCCATTTTATTATCGTGCCTTGACCATTGTTATTCCCTGCCCTGCTGTGCTTTCTTGCATAATGACAATGTCTTCCCTGGGCCAGATTGGAAGAAGAATTGTCTTGGGCCAAACATAAAATACACGAACACTAACAATAGCTGATGAGCTAAAACCAATGCAAAAAAAAAAAAAAATCTCATAATGTTTTAAGAAAGTTTACGAATTTTTGTTGGGCCACATTCAAAATTGTCTTTGTCAAGAAGAAGACAAGGATATCTTCTCCTTGATGAACATGGTCTTCCCGATGAGCATGACCATTCCAGATTCTCTCATTTCTAGCTCTGGTCTATCTCACTTCCCTCTGAATTCCAAGCTCTAATTCTGGTATTAGAATTAACACTCCTTTTTTGTTCTCTACCAAAATGGAGATAAATTCGCTAAGGGTACATGTTCTTTTGACTTAATGGAGCCATGAACCCTTTTTTCCATCAGAAGGCTGACAGGAGGTAATAGTATTGCCTTGAAATAAAAGTCTAATCTGATCTTGTCAAATCTGTGGCCCAGGACAGCTTTGAATGTGGCCCAATACAAATTCATAAACTTTCTTAAAACATTCTGAGACTTTTTTTGTGATTTTTTTTTAGCTCATCAGGTATTGTTAGTGTTAGTGTATTTTATGTGTGGTCCATGACAATTCTTCCAATGTGGCCTAGGGAAACCAAAAGATTGGATTCCCCTGGTCTAATCCATTATCATCTAGAAGAAATAACTTTTAAAATAGACCTGCTTATGTATAACTATTTCTGATTGATTAAACTATTTACTGTAACTATTACTTTCTTTAATAATACTACTGCTTTCATTTAACTATTACATGATTCTTTTGAAATGATGTATTTACAGAAGAAGATAGGGTTCATCTGACATATGTTAAAATCTTGTCTTAAGCATGTGGCAATATGTATCCCTGGCTAAAAATTCTTTAACCATTAGCTTTCAGGACTTTTAAGTACCTGCTAAAAAGCTGTGCATATGTCTGCTTTATTTAATAAAGTGGTCTGCAAACTTAGGTATCAAACTTTAAGTTATCTGCATTTAGTTATTCCTACTGCTATTGGCAAGAGCTATCAAAATTACAATGTTTTTCTCCTGCCAGAAAAGTACTAGAGACTTTTTGTTTTTGTTGCTAAATGAAGACACTTTGACATAGATTTTTTTCCTAATAGTAGATGCTAATAGAGACAATATTTTTCACAACAGCAGTAACGACAACAAGTTTACTTATTTCATTATTTCATTGAACATGCCTATTATCTTTGTGCAAATGTTATTAGAATTCTGTGGTGGAAGTAAATGTAACCTTAATGTATTTACCTTTCAGTTCTTTCACCCTTAGTAGCTGTCTGTATTTCTAGTAATTTTTTTAAAAATATAATCTATAAATCATAAACTGACATTGAAACAGTGAGACTTGTCTATAGGTCTTAAAGCCAGTGCCACATGCTCATGTGATGAATTTAGCTTACATATTTGCAATACCATATAGGTAGAATTATTAGTTACTGTTTCATTACAATTAATCCAGGAATGCACATAGACATCTTTTCAATAAATTTTCCTTTTGACAATAATGCAGAGAACATGTTTATTTAATGAAAGCATGGGTTGTTACTCAAAACCACTATTCACTTTGTCTTCCATTGTTGACTGTTATAATTCTGGTTAGTAACTCCTGTCTAACAGGACTAATGATTTAGTTTTGTAGGAATGAAAGTGAGGAGGAAATTATTCTGATTTTTAAAATATAGAAAAGCTAAAAAACATCAAACATGTGAAAACTTCCAAGATGGAAGGAGCTCTGGCTTTAAGTAGTAGGTTCAGTTTATAACAAGTATACAAATTTATATTGTAGTGCATATTCTAGTTGCACAGTAAGTCATCTCTAAACATAATAATAGTAATATAGGGCTAATCATTTAGTATTACTAAAAGAATGACTAGATTACAAGAGTTATAATATATAAGATAATATGAATTTCCACAGGCAGCACTGTTTTATTCAGCAGGACTTATAGGTATAAAAGAATATCAAGGAGAAAGAGGCAGAGATTCCAATGTGGTGGTAAGAGTGATGAGACATGTATTAATTTTGCCTGGAATTAAGCTGAGTAAATAATTTAAGCTGTAGACATATACTGTATATCTGTGATAGGCTAGACATTGCACAGGTTGCTAGGGATATACTGGTGAACGAAAGTTAGCATCATCCCTGCTTTCATGAAACATACCAACCAGTGGAAAATAGTGTTTTTCAAATACCATAAAAATGAACTCCAGAGTACAAACTAAAAAAGTGCCCTCAAGAAAAAAAGGCATAAAGCACGCAATACAGACTGGTGGACTTTAAACTTGGATTCCATACTCACTAAAAGAGTTTGGAAAATTATGTACCTCTTCACCCATGTTTAACTTGTCATCTAAATTTTTCATTGTAAGTCGAAATTTCTTAATGGGTCCAATGTACATTATTCAGGTGATGGATGCTGTAAATTGCCTAGTCTTACCACTGTGCAATCTATGCATGTAAAAAAATTGCACTTGTACCCTATAAATGTATATACAATTTTTAGAAGGAGATAAATAACTAAATAAATTTTATAGAGTTGTAAAGGCTGCTGATTCTAGCATGTGGTAACTCCCGTCTAGTAAAAATGTTATAGCATTCTGAAAATCATAATTATTTGATACCCCTTTCCAAGATTAAAAAATAAGCCTGCTCTTTTTTAACATTTGAAAAATGTATACCTTTCCTTTTTACTCTTTGAGCTGATATTTGTTCCATGACATTCAAAGATTTTCATCCAAGTCTATACATAACACATTTTTATAATTATCATACCACAAATATGTATGAACATTTTAAAATCTGTCTTCTCACATTCATAAGACATTAAGTACTTAAACATATTTTCTATGCTAACTTATAAATTCAATTAATATTTTTATATAATTAGTTATAACATATTCTAATTATTTATTTTTTGGTCTTATTACTAGCTTTTTCTAAGATTTTTGATGTGTTAAATACTTTTGTCTTTTTGAAAGGCTTTTCACCCTTGGCTTCCTTGGCCCTTCTCTTTGTTTGCATTCTTTCTATCACTTCTTTCTAAAGATCTTATTTGGCTCCTGATCCACTACTAAATTTGATTTGGTTCCTACTTACAAAGCTGATACTCTCAAGATTTCAAAACTCTTTTGGAGTTGTCTGTTATAATCATGGCATTGACTAAGTCACATCTTTCTCGGTTGATGCCTGTTTAAAATGTAATGTTGAGCCATCAGCCCCTTGACTCTTGTCTGGCCTTTTGACTTGCTTAAACCATTAAAACGTGGCAGTTGTGGCATTGCACATGGTCCTGAGCCTTGGCCTGAAGAGACATAGTGGCTTCTGCTTTTGCTTCTTGGGATTCCACCTTGAGTCCGAGTTCACCATATGAGGAAGCTAGTCTGGAAGATGCAAGGCCACATGGAAAAGATGACCCAGTCCAAGCCCCCTGACCTATGATTGAGGCCATTTTATACTTCCCAGTTCTGCCAGGCTGGATAAAGCTACAGAGATGAGTCCAAGTAAACAAGGGAAATAACTTCCTAGACACTTCATAGAATTGGAAAATCTTTGCTGTGTTAAACTACTAAGTTTAAAGTGGTTGTGTAGTAACAGATGATTGATATATACTTACATTAGAAAACCTCCAGATCTCTATCTCTTTTTACCACGTTACTACTGAACAATTCCCTGATGTCCTAGAGATACTTCAATGTCAACATCTTCAAAACGGAATTCCTTATCGTTTAGCTTCTCTTTCCTATTCCATAAATCAATGCCTATTTCATCTGCAGTTTCTGCCATGTTTGAGAATGGCACATGTACATACCCAGTTATGAAAACAAGTGGTAAATAAGTTACCCAGGTTGTTTTATTCTCCCTTACTGTATCTTCTCGCCAAGTGTCTATAGTCAGTGACCATACCTCAGTAACATATTTGTAATCACTATTCTTGCCTCCATTTTTGCTTTGACTTGGTTGCTGCTTTCCCCATATCTTCCTCATACTTTGCACTGTTCTTCTGATGGCCTGTCTTCATGTATCTAGGGAACCTTATAATCCTTCTTTTCTATTCCTGCAAATTTAACTTTTCTAAAATGCAAACTATATGTCATAATTTTACTCAGTTGATTAGAAAACCAATTAAGTTTAACTTAATAACTCACCATTGTCTACAAAATTAAGTGTAACCTCTTCATCAAGACAAGGAAGACTCTCTCTGATGTATCCCAGACTAGCTCTCTGGCTTCCTCCCTCTACTGCTTATTATGTTGCAGCCGTGCTGAAATTACTAACATACTAACAAAAGCTTTCTCCTCTGTATATACTCAAGCTCCCCACTTTTCCAAGAGTGCTCCCTCCCTTCTTCACTGCCTTCTAAGATTCTCAAGATAATTGACATTTCTGGGTTGTTATCTTTTTTAAATCTCCATCATACCAAATATGGATATCCATTGTAGGAGCAATAGCTATGTCTGATTTTTTATTTATGTACATGCCTATTTCCCTCTATTGTAGTTAAGATTCCCTCAGAAGCAGGGCTCCCTAAAGGTAATGATTCAAATACAAGTAAGTAATTTTGTAGGTAAGCTAAGGATACTATTGTAGAGGAGTGGGAAAGTGAGAGAGTGAGAAAGTCAACAAAATGTGTAAAGCCAGATACTACTGTGGGCAACTAGAGTTTAGTCCTGCAGGAAAACTCTGAACAATAGTAGAATATAAGCCTCAGGATTCTCTCTACTAGGGGATGAGGAAACTGTAGTATTTATTTACCCACTTCAGCCAATAGATGAGGGCTACTTCTAGATAGAACCGTGTGTGCAAGTGTGTGTGTGTGTGTGTGTGTGTGTGTGTAAGTGTGTAATTATTCTTCTGGCCTCTCAGGAGGCAGACAAAGAGTAATCTTTTATGGCTTCTGAATTGGCCCTCAGGAAACGAGATGCAAATGGAAGCCAGCCCCATACATTCAAATGGTATGGTCACAGAGATAAGAGCATGGTATTAATAGAAAGCAGTACACCTCCTTGTAATATGTTATGAACTTCTTTCAGGCAGAGACAGTGCTGTATTTTTCATTATATTTCCACTGCCAAACCCAGCGCCTGGCCATACATTGGAACCATAAACACAGTTGTTGAATGAATAAGTTATAAAATGAAAAATCACTGATATCATAGTAGCTTAACACTAGCATTTACTGAGTATTTTCTATAGGCAAGGCACTGTTCTATGTTCTTTATTGGCATTAATTCATTGAACTGAAGTGGAGCAAGAATAAACGATTTATTTATGCTAGTGGAAATCTGAGAAAAAGACACATCAATGAGCCAATCCACTTGATCAGTAATAATTTGTAAAGCATAAGGATAAAAAATTCATCTAATACTCTACATTTCTAGGCAATTTCAATTATTTACAATGAATACTACAGCATAGCAGTTAAGACAGTAGGCTTCATACCAGACTGTCTTGGTTTAGTTGCTAGTTCCACAGCTTATAAGCCATGTGACCTTGGGCAAGTTATCTGAGTTCTCTGTGAAATTAGTATCATAATTGATATGGTTTGGCTGTGTCCCCACCCACATCTCATCTTGAATTGTACCTCCCATAATCACCACATGTCATGGGAAGGAGCTGGTGGGAGGTAATTTAATCATAAGGGTGGGTTTTTTCCCATGCTGTTCTCATGATAATGAATAAGTCTCATGAGATCTGATGGTTTTACATAGGGCAGTTTCACTGCCCATGCCTTCTTGCCTGCCGCCATGTAGGACGTAACTTTGTTCCTGCTTTGCTTTCTGCCATAATTGTGAGGCCTCCCCAGCCATATGGAAGTGTGAGTGCATTAAATATCTTTTTATTTATAAATTACTCAGTCTTGAGTATGCCTTTATTAGCAGCGTGAGAATGAAATAACACAGTAATAGTTTTTATATTTTAGGTTTATGAGGGTCATTTATATTAGTAAATTCAAAGAACATGGAACAATGCCTGGTACATCATGAGCACTCAATAAATATGATTACTATCAGTCTTTCTTAGAGGAGAATTAATTCATTTACAAAGACTCGAAGATTGTAGAACTGTATATCCAATAATAAGCAAGAACTGTGTTTGAAATGTGTGTTTCATTTGTAAAATTTCTCTGATAGAATTCATTCATTACTTATAATGGACTGCAATTGATTGTAAAGTAGGATATACAATGTTTATTCTATGACACTAAATACGTACGTCCTCTTGGACATCTTGAAATTATTCTTGACCCCTCCATTTCTCTAACACCCAACCTGTCAGGAAATCCCTTGGTTCTAATTCTATTGCTACTTGCTGGGAAAAAGCCACCACCATCTCTTCAATTAGTAAAATATTCTTCTACTCCTGTCTCCTATAGTCTGTCCTTAACACAGTGTGATCTTTTAAAGTGTAAGTCATATCATGGAAAACCTCTGCTCAAAGCATTTCAAAGACTTCCTATCTCCTTCAGTGTAAAATATTTTAAAAATTCAAGCTCATAGAAATAAAGAGTGGAATGGTGATTGCCAGAGGCTGGTGGCAGAAGATGGAGGTGAACGGGGATAAAAGGAGATGTCACTCAAAGGGTAACATGTTTCAGTTGGGCAAGAGGCATAAATTGTCATGCTATCTTACACAGCATGGTGACTACAGTTAATAATAATGTATTGTAAATTTCAAAATTGCTAAAAGAGTAGATTTTAAATGTTCCCAACACAGAGAAATGATAAATGTGTGGTGACATGTTAATTAGATTGATTTAATCATTCCACAATTTATACATATATCACATTACATTATACTCCATAAATACATATAATTATTATTTGACAAACAAAAATTAAATTAAAAAAAGATAAAGAATGTGTAACCCAACCAGGCTTATCCTCTGAAATCTCTTCCTACCAGTCTCTCAGCAATACATTAGCCAGACTGGCCTGTTTGCTATTATTCCAACACATCCCTATACTATAGGACCTTTGAATTTTTCCTCCAGATATCCCGAGGGCTAATTTTCTCACATCTTTGAGATCTTTATTCAAATGTCCCTTCTCAGTGAGGCAATTACCCTATTTAAAATTATAAGCTACACCCTCCCCATTCTCTTTCACCTTGCCCCACTCTTCATATATTATGGAAGGGTAGGGCTCTCTGTTTTCTTTACTGAAGTTTGTCAGCTTTGCCTGGAAAAGTACCTGAAACACATCTTCTAAGACTCAACAAACATTTAGGAAACAAAGTATATACGTGTGTGTGTGTGCGTGTGTGTGTGTGTGCGCATGTGGGTGTGGGTGCATGCATAATCTAAGGTCTTACTGAAGCTCATAACTGAAGTGAACTTTATAATGGAAAGAAACTTAGGAGAGACTTTTGAGAACATGTTGACCTTGGTACCTGGCAATCCTTTGAACTGCCCACTTGACACGATGCTTTCCCAGAATAGCACTGAAGAATAACAAGATTGAGAAGGTTTCAGTCAGGCAAGTGGAACAATTGGGGGCTTACTGAAAATTATAATATATACAAAGGTAGAGTGAAAGCTGCTAATGAAACCCTGGGTGAGAGCATCCAGTACACCCACTGTGCTTTGCTCCATTTGGATTGAAGAGGGATGTTTTGAACTTAATGAGATGGTCCTCATTTCATAGGAGAAGGGTTGTAGTGGTTTTGGAGAGGCAGATTTTTTTGTAGACAGAAAGTGAAACATACATTTGTCCTATTGGTGCCTTTAAAATACACTCTTGCTGGTCATTGTACATGGCCCATGCTCTGGGTGGGGAGGGATTTATGGAGTACTCTGTATGGATGTGAGGGGCACAACCTTAGCTGCAATATACTGAGTAAACAAAGAAAGGACTCCTGATACTTCAATAGGGAATTATTTTGCAATCAAACTGGCTGAGAAGTTTAGGCGGTCACTGATATTTATATTTTATATTCTAATTGCAGTATAAAGTAAATAATTTTTATAAGTCTGTAAAGTTTCATTATTTTCCAATCAGTTTTTCCATTAACAATTATTCAGAGCATCATCACAACATAACTTTTCCTATTACCTACCTACTGGGCCTGAATAAATAAGATATTGGAAAGAACTGAGTTTGAGTGAAATTCCTGGGTTTACATTATGATTCTGCCAGTTACCAACAGTACAACCTGGGAGAAAGAAAGTTTTTTATAGACTCAATTGTCTCCATGAGCAAAACAAGGATAATATTAACCAAATAAGATTATTGTAAGGATCAAATCAGGACTTATGTGAAAACTTCAATATCTTATGGCAGCTCAGTAGCTAATTTTCTTTCTTAAAATTGTAAATGCTACTTTAAAGAATAGAATAAGGGAGATTATCTTTATTCTTCTCTATGTCATAACTTTTTATATGTTGTTTCTGTCCAAATGTCCAAATACAGTGAATATTGAAGTTATTGGTTTTCTTACATCATTTACTAAGTTATTGAGACTTTACTATGTTTTAGGCTCTACTCTAGATTTGGAATACACAGCTGCCTTTTTAACGTTCTGATTGTGCATATTCCCTCATTAGTTTTTGGTTTTTTGTTTTTGTTTTTAAAAATTTCATGGAGAGGAAAAAAAATGAGGTTCTGTCACGCATGGTCTTGACCAGAGGGAGTATGCCACACAGGTAGAAGATGATTTTGAGATGTTTCCTGACAATCAGGAAGATAACTTTAGGTTCCTCCAGTGTCCATTTTTAATCTCCAGAACTTGGTAAGGAAATTAACAGATGGTAATTAAGACAGACGGTATCAGCTTCTGGATAATTTTTTCTAAAGGGAAAAAAATAAAATTAGATGATGCATAAGTTTACATGAAGAATGCTAAAAAGAATAGAGTATCACCTTCGAAGCAGAATAAGTTAAAAAGCAAAATAAGTTATTCTCAAAATGTATCATTATTCTCAAATAAGACGTGATTTGACCATGCCTCCCAGAGAATGAAGTGCCAATCTTCTAGTAGCAGGATGTACTATTGACTTCCCGGATTTGGTGATAACTTTATGAAAGGAAATCTTTGTTCACCAAGAGTCTATCACCAATCCACATGTGCTATTGTTTCCAAACAAAAGGCAATGTTCATTATGTGTGAAGGTCTAGCCAGCCCTATAGAGTTTGACAAAATGACTTTGGCATTCCCTCATGGAACTTTGTTATGGATAAGAAAATGGCTAAAATATATGAAAAATTGCTATCCTGTGAAAGAAGTAAAGAATAAGTGTCACAAAGAAGCAATAGTTGGTGCAGAATTGCAGTTTTTGACATATTAAAAATATTAACCTACCTAATACAAAACCCAGTCTGTGATTCTCCCTTCTCCACTTAGTCTTCTGATTTCCCTGTGTGTCCCTCAGGTTTCTATAGCACTGGGAGGCAGAAGCACCATTTGTTAATCACCTGTCAGCTGCTTCTCTTATGCTCTAAAGTCCCTCTCACAAGGCACAGCAGAATTGAACAGCCAGAAATACAGTAGTTCCCCCTCATCTGCATTTCACTATCCACCGTTTCACTTACTTGTGGTCACCCACAATCCAAAATATTAAATGGAAAATTCCAGAAACAAACCAATCCTGAGTTTTAAATTGCACTACATTCAGAGTAGCGCGATGAAATCCTGAGCTGTCCTGTTCCGTCTAGCCTGAGATGTGAATCATCCTTTTTGTCCAGGGTATTCATGCTGTCTGTGCTACCTGCCCTAGCCACTTAGCAGCTGTCTTGGTTATCAGATCAGCTGTCTCTGTATCACAGTGCTTGTATTCAGATCACTGTTATTTGACTTAATAATGGTCCCAAAGTGCAAGAGTAGTGATGCTGGCTTTGTAAAGTGCTTCAAATGAAAAGGTGAAGGTTCTTGGCTCATAAGGAGGAAAAAACATTCATATGTCAAGGTTGCTAAGATCTACTGTAAGAATGACTCTTCTATTTATGAGACCATGAAGAAGAAAAAATAAATTAGTGCCAGTTTTGCAGTCACATCTTAAACTGCCCCCCAGATAAAAGGCGACTACTGTATATGGCTGAGACCCACTGCTTTAATTAGGCATGATTGTGCATAATTATAGTAGACAAATACAGTGCAAATTAAAGAATTTTTCCTAATAAAAAGACTGCCTTTTGTTGTGTAGCTATTTATAGGAAACACCTCAGCAATTACCTTGCTGTTTTCATTATTCATGATAACATGTGCTGTTGGTTCTTAAACTTGAGTAAGAAGAGTGCTGTCATTTCCTTTCAAACAGTTTGTTGAGAAGACTGGTTTTTGTTTCTGGCTCACTAGAGTACAGTATTTAATATTTAAATGCACTGTAAATGGGTACTTTCTGTGCACCAGTTACAGGTGATGACTTATAAAATGGGAGGGATTTTCACATTTACAAATGAATCACCTGTTTTAATAAAACCAGGAAAGCACAGTTTCCCATTCTTATCTCTGGTTCATCTTTCTGCCGCAATTGATTTTTATTGCTTAGTAAATTTGCCCTCTTGAAAGATAATAGGTTCAGTCTATACTATAATCAAGGTCAATTTTCCATTTTTAGTAATAGGAAAGTGAATGATTGAATTGTTTAGTCATGATTTTTGGAATCTTGAAAGACAAAGAAAACCAAAAATTAATTCAGTTTGAAATTTTAAAACAGGCTTTGGAATCATGATTGTTTTACCTTGTCTTATATTTCAGAATTACTTTCAGTTGTAACTTCTTCCTGTTATTTTATAGGTCAGCCCCAGGGAAGTTAATTAATTTGATTTGAGACCCAAAATTAGTTAGAATAAGAGGATAAACTTGATTCTTATTCCGTAAGTGTTTCTACGCTAAACAGTCTTTTTCAATTCAGGCTCAAATAGGAATGCTATGATAATAACAACTTAACACTTTCTCTTAGTAATTTTATTCTGATATCTGTTTTGGTGAATTACACCACTGTTAATGCTAACTATGAATGAGAGAGGACCTATAATGTGAAATCACTTAAGAATTTATAGCTTGAGCGGCCAAAATTTATTCCATGGCCTGCAATTGATAGAAGAAACATTTTTTTTAGAGGCTCAATGTCCAGACTAGTTGGGAAGTAGAAAATTCCAAAAAGGTGCCGATTGCAGCTTAACATAAGCAATCATTGATTTCTTCAAAAGCAGGAGTATTGAAAATAAACAGTTTTGCCTTATTATTTGTAGTTATGCTATTCGAAGTCAGTCCATTTAACTTATTTTTTTATTGTTCATGAAATACTATCTTTTTAAAAACTCTCTTTTTATTAGGAAATAGATTTATTTAGCTTTCAACTTAAGGTTTTTTATTTTTAAAATGTTTTATAAATGAAATCATGCTCACACTTAGTTTTCCAAATGTACTATCTTCTCTGCAAGAGCAGACAGAACCTTTGAGCATGCATGCCTTCCCATCCTCCCAGTCTTCAGTCATGAACATGTTCATCCTTTCCTCAAAGAAGCCTTCCAAGCTCCCTTCGATCATTTAAATTTATATTTTACTCTCTTATCACACCAAGAATTTCCATAGTAAAAGTTTTCCTTTTACAAGTACAATATTTGTGTTATTATTTGATTAACATCAGTCTTTGTCACAAAAATGGAATTCACTAAGGATAGGAAATGTTGATTTTTACCAACTGTTTTATCCTTAACATTTTAGGATAAATCAAGGAGGATTCAAAAGAGGCACTGAATGAATATCGGATGAATGAATGAATTATTTAAAATGCCACTGAAAACAGAAACATTTATAGGAAAAACAATGCTTTCTCCAAATTGTTTGTCTTTAGCAGGGTTAAAAATCCACTGAATTATATTGATATGAACAAAGCAAAATATACTTCACTTTTTATTTTTAATAAATATTTTTATATTCTTTAAGAATCTCTCCCCTCACTGATCTGTCCCTTGACAGAGAGAGGTGAGTGGCTCAATTTAATTTTTTCTTGTAAATTCATCCCAATTCAATAATGTAAACAATTGTAACTATCTGAGTCTCTGTAGATTTTAGCTCTTCCCCATATCCTCTTTAAGTTGATGTCCAAGTGTTTAAGTCAATATGATTTTGAAAGAGAATATATGAAAATTTGTGAAGAAATTGTTAATAAAACAACTACTTCTAAAAGTGATTTCAATACAGATTATACTCCAAACTCCTAAAGGGTGAATTCCAAGTCTTGTTTTTTTCACTTTTTTCCTTTTATTCAACACAATAACTAGCACATAGTAGTTGCTCAATAAAATTTGGTTAAATGAATGAATTAGAAATACATTATATTAATTAAATTAAGGGGAAACATGAACATTTAAAAGTTTCTGCTGAAAATTATGTGTCTAACCATTATTCACAATGTCTTTTCAGTGCATGACTTTGCTTCAGTTTAAAAAATAGATCTGAAAATCTGATAGCTTCAGTAGATATGAGGCCTAGCAAACATGCCAGATGAATAAAAGAAAACCCAGGTAGTGTGATCAAATTGCAAATCTGATTGTGTTATATAAGAAAAGGGGCTTTTTGATCAAATAGACTGTAAGGATAGAAGTAGAAATAGAGATAAAGATGTTGGAATCCAAAACAGTCTTTCAGTCTGATATCAGAAAAAGTAAAGCAGTAAAGTGAGGTTCTGTTTTCTCTTTTAAGATACAGTAAGATCTGCTGAGAGAGGAAAGCCCAAAATTTAGTTGGAGAAGTGGGATTAAGTATGAATAATTAATAGCCAAACCAGTAAAAGAGGAATATCCATTAGACCTGAGCAGAAACATGCGGGCTGGACTCATTGTAGCCAACAGGAAGATACCCAACCAGGCTGGAAGGGCAAGATACCTGGCAATCCTGAGGACAGGTGTTTGGTGACAGTCCAGGTTGCCTTTTCAGTGCAGATAAACAGATGGTCTCTGCTCTCAATAGGCAAAGAGCAGTGGTTCTCAAGCTTTAGTGTGCAACACCCAGAAAGCTCATTTTAAATGCAGATTCATAGGACTCCTCCTTAGAGGTTCTAATTCCTTAGGTTTAGGTTATGCCTCAGAATCTATGTTTTTATCTAGCACCCATGGAAATTCTGATGCCCTATTACTTTTTCAAAAACACTGAAGTACGAAGAAACATTAGTCTTTTTTCAAGTAAATTGAACTTTTGCTTATGAATGATTACCTAAAATGTACATAATGACATAAATAGAACTCTTGAATTATAGATATTTTAGGTCCTTCTACACTTAGGACACATTTA
The DNA here is from genome assembly GCF_000001405.40 of Homo sapiens. Taxonomy (NCBI): domain Eukaryota; kingdom Metazoa; phylum Chordata; class Mammalia; order Primates; family Hominidae; genus Homo; species Homo sapiens. Next base: position 91,323,581 of record NC_000004.12, read on the forward strand.
AGATACATAGGTTAAGATATTTACCTGAATTTCAATTTTGAACGATTTTTCTATAGCAAACAAAAAAGCAGTTTATCCCTCATTTAAACTTTGAACAATCTAAGAAGTCTAAGTTTTCTTTTTGTCAGAAACTCATTATGGTCAGTTTAACATAAGCTTTCTGAACATAACAAGGAAGACCTTGCTAGCGCAATGGCCTATGGATGCATAGTTCCATGGGGAATTTCTTGAATGGAATTCAATTTTCCTTAGACTGGAACTACTTGCCACACTAAAATCCTGCATTAGAGGCTAGGAAATTTTCTTTCTGTTTCTGCATCTCTGAAATATTTCACTAGAAAGCCTAGATTAAGCACAATTTTGTCTTTTGTATTCTCCGTCATTATGTAGTGGACTTTTGGTAAACATTCTGAAGAAAGGCATGCATTTGACATACAGCGACATCTAATTTCACTTATGATAATTTTGACTTCTTACAGATTGTTGTTAAAGCTGGAGATCATCTTAAAGTAATTTAATCAAATCTTACTTTACAATGGAAACAATTTAGGTAGAGAGACATGCCTAACATAATTCTGTCTAAATCAGGACTCCTGATTTATACATATAAGGTTTTATTTTGCATTTAACTGTTCTATCTCCAAAATTATAGTATTTATTCTTATATTATTTAATAGGTTTACTTTTTTCATAATTTGGAAAACATCAGTCTTTCGGGTCTATTTTATGGTAATGTACTATTTGTCGGAGTGTCAAAATGACTTAATTGCTAACTGTGCTCAGCAAAGTGTTTAGAAGAGAATTCTCGAGTGTTGTCAACGTCAACGTGCAATACATTTGTTCACACGAGCAAAATGTTGGTGACAAGTTTTGAAAATGTTGGATCTTTTAAATTTAAATTTCTAAAGAAGTTTTAAATTTTTAAGCTTAAAGAAAAATATTACATAGAACAATATTGTATTATTTAAGAATACAGTAGTTTATATTTACATATATTAACAGATGAATAACAACTATAAACCTCATAGGCAGTGTTATCAATTAGTGATGTCTTTGGCTCTGAGTAATAAACAAACAAAATATGACCCTAGAGTTGTTTGAATAAATACAGATTTTATTTCATTCTAGTACAGGAAATCTGGGAATAGCAATCTAGAGTTAATTGAGGGCCTTACTGAAATCAGCAAGGTGCCGGACTTTTTCTTAAGCCTTCAGTGTAGTATTGAGCATCTTTGGGGAACTGCTGGAAAGGCATGATTATGTTTTGAAATATGAGAAGGACATGGAATTTGGGAGGGGCCAAGGGCAGAATAATATGATTTGGCTCTGTGTTCCCACCCAAATCACATGACGAATTGTAATCCCCTAGTGTTGAAGGTGGGGCCTGGTGGGAGGTGATTGGATCATGAAGGCAGATTTCCCCCTTATTGTTCTAGTGATAGTGAATGGAAATGCAAAAGGCCATCGGACCTGTGGGGCAAGGGGCTTGGGGCCCTAAATAGCTTGGGGCTACCCTTTACCAAGAGGGAGTACCTTATTTCTAATTCCACAGGTGTCAAATGGGTTAGCAGTGGTCCTCTTTTTCTGTCTTCTTGTTTCACCAGCATAGTAGGTGGCTCTTGCCATTATTGTAATTAGATATGGCTGTTGCACATCTAAGCCTGTGCACATGGGTCCTAGGCAGGAAGAAGAAAGAAGAGTTACAAAGGCTTTTTTCCCAAAGAAGCTTTACTTGGAAAATGAAGCCATTTGACAGAAACTATTGCCAATATCTTACTGTTCATAAGTATGCCATGTGTCATCTATAGATGAAAGGGAGCAAGGGGTAGGCAGAAGTATTTTTAGCTAGTACATTATGATGCTGAGAAAACAATCAAGAGAAGGAAGGGAGAATGGGTAACAGATAGGCAGCTAGAAGAAGCTGCCAAGGGAATAATTAGATGAAGAAGGAGACCAAATCAACATAAGCTTTGGGCCAAGGTTAATAGCACTGCAGATTTTCAGCACAAAGATCAAATCTCAGCAGCAAGATTCTGGTAAAATAAAAGTCTCTCCTTTCATCCATTGCTCCTTCCAATACGGCACAAAGCTTCCCAGACTCAGAATTTGGCTGCCTGCCATATGACTAATATGTGAACCAATTCACTTATCTTCACTTTTATACTATTTCAGTTCCAGTATCAATATGACTTCAGCCTTCTCCATCTTCACAACAGACAAAGAAAAAAGAGTTTGGAAAGTATAATTAAATATTTATAACTTACACTGGTATTTTCTCAGAACAAAAGATTAGTTTTAGTTTGAGAAATGAAAATATTTCTTCATTGATTAGAACTTTATGAATCAAATTAGAAATGAACGTCCATCTTCAAAATTCCTAGAGTTTTCTTTGAAAGAGTAGCTTTGTTTTTTTTTTTAAGTTGTTAAATTTGCTTTTCTGAGTTTTGAATTCTCTAATTGCTAGACTGAGAATATGTCATAAATATGTACATTTGTGACATTTTAATAAAATCCTGCTCAGTAAAGTTACAAAACCTAGATTGATTAAATTAGCACATGTAGATCAAAATAAAAATGAGCTCTTCTTTTTATAACCACTGCATTATTCTGTTCTCACATTGCTATAAAGAACTACCCGAGACTGGGTAATTTATGATGAAAGAGGTTTAATTGACTCACAGTTCTGCAGGCTGTACAGAAAGCATGACTGGGAGGCCTCAGGAAACTTACAATCATGGCAGAAGGTGAAGGGGAAGTGAGCATGTCTTCAGGCCAGAGCAGGAGAAAGAGAGTAAAAGGGGAAGTGCTACACAACTTTATACAACCAGATCTTGTGAGAACTCATTCACTATCACTAGAACAGTAAGGGGGAAATCTGCCTTCATGATCCAATCACCTCCCACCAGGCCCTACCTTCAACACTGGGGGATAACAATTCATCATGTGATTTGCGTGGGAACACAGAACCAAATCATATTATTCTGCCCTTGGCCCCTCCCAAATTCCATGTCCTTCTCTTATTTCAAAACACAATCATGCCTTTCCAGCAGTTCCCCAGAGTCCTAACTCATTCCATCATTAAGTCAAAAGTCCATATCCAAAGTCTCATCTGACATACAGCAAGTCCCTTCTGCCTATGAGCCTGTAAAACAAAAAACAAGCTAGTTACTTCCAAGATACAATGGGGGTACTGGCATTGGTTAAATGCTCCCATTCCAAAATAAAGGAATTGGCCAAAACCAAGGGTCTGCAGGCCCCACCCAAGTCCAAAACCCAGCAGTGCCTCCATTAAATCTTAAAGCTTCAAACTAACTTCCTCTGACTCTATGTCTCACATCCAGGCCACTCTGACACAAAGGATGGACTACCAAGGCCTTGGGCAGCTCTGCCTCTGTGGCTCTGGAAGGCACAGCCCATGCAGCTATTTTCATGGACTGGCATAGAGTGCCTGCAACAGTTCCAGGCACATGGTACAAGCTGTTGGTGGATCTATCGTTCTGGGGTCTAGAATATGGTGGCCCTCTTCTCACAGCTTCACTAATCAGTGCCCCAGTGGGAACTCTATGTGGGGGCTCGAACCCCACATTTCCCCTCTGCACTTCCCTAGTAGAGTTTCTCCGTGAGGGCTCTACCCCTGTAGCAAACTTCTGCCTGGACATCCAGGTGTTTCCATAATCCTCTGAAATGTAGGTGGAGGCTCCCACTCCTCAACTCTTGTCTTCTGTGCACCCACAGGCCCAATACCACGGGGAAGCCACCAAGGCTTGGGGCTTACACCCTTTCAAGCAATGGTTGGAGCTGCACCTTGGTCCCTTTTAGCCATGGCTGGAGCTGGAGAGTCTGGGATGCCAGGCACCATGTCTCAAGGCAGCACAGAGCAGCAGGGCCCTAAGCCTGGCCCATGAAACCATTTTTCCCTCCTAGGCCTCCAGGCCTGTGATGGGAGGGGCTGCCATGAAGGTCTCTGAAATGCCCTGGGGGCATTTTCCCCATTGTCTTGGCTTTTAACATTTGACTCCTCTTTTCTTATGCAAATTTCTGTAGTTGACTTGAATTTCTCCTGAGAAAATAGCTTTTTATTTTCTATCACATGGCCAGGCTGCAAATTTTCCAAGCTTTTATGCTCTACTTCCCCTTTAAATATAAGTTCCAAATTCAGGTCATTTCTTTGTTTCTGCAAATGAGCATAGGCTTTTAGAAGCAGCCAGGCCAAATCTTACATGCTTTTGCTCCTTTGAGATTTGTTCCAGCAGATACCCTAAATCATTTCTCTCAATCTCAAAGTTCCACAGATCTCTAGAGTGAGGCACAATGCCACCAGTCTCTTTGCTAAAGCATAACAAGAATGACCTTTACTCCAGTTCCCAATAAGTTCCTCATCTCCATCTGAGACCACCTCAGCCTGGACTTCATTATCCATGTAACTATCAGAATTTTGGTCACAACCATTCAACAGGTCTCTAGAATGCTTCAATCTTCTCAATTTCCTGCCTTCTTCTGAGCCTTAAAAACTGTCCTAACTTCTGCCCATTACCCAGTTCCAAAGCTGCTTCCACATTTTTAGGTATCTTTATAGCAAGACCCAACTCCTGATTTCAATTTTCTGTATTAGTCCATTTTCACACTGCTATAAAGAACTACCTTAGACTGGGTAATTTATGAAGAAAAGAGGTTTAATTGACTCACAGTTACACAGGCTGTACAGGAAAGCTGTCTGAGAGGCCTCAGGAAACTTACAATCATGGCCAAAGGTAAAGGGGAAGTAAGCACATCCTCACATCAGAGCAGGAAAGAAAGTGTAGGAGGAAGTAGTACACATTTTTAAACAACCAGACCTTGTGAAAACTCACTCACTATCACAAGAACAGCAAAGGAGAAGTCTGCCCCCATGATCCAATCACTTCCTACCAGGCCTCACCTTCAACATTGCAGATTACAATTCAACAGGAGAGTTGAGTGGGGACAGACAGCCAAACCATATCAACCACAGAAATATTTTCCGAACCACTTGGATTTTAGATTTCAGTAAAACTTACCTGAATTATTTGTACTCATTAATTAACAGTGAAAGTTTAGTTAAATTATGTGATAAAGGGACCCTATAAAATAAAATAAAACACTTTTGGCACCTGGGAATGTAGACACAATGCATATTTATTTTATTTTGTATGTTATTATTAAAGAGTTGATATGGTTTGGCTGTGTCCTCACCCAAATATCACCTTGAATTGTAATGATCCCCACATGTCAAGGATGGGACCACGTAGAGATAGTTGAATCATGGTAGCAGTTTCCCCCCTACTGTTCTCATGGTAGTGAATAGGTCTCATGAGATCTGAGGGATTTATAAGTGGGAGTTCCCCTGCAAAAGCTCTCTTGCCTGCCGCCATGTAAGATGTGACTTTGCTCCTCATTTGCCTTCTGACGTGATTGTGAGGCCTCCTCAGCCATGTGGAGATGTCAGTCAATTAAACCTCTTTCCTTTATAAATTACCCAGTCTCAGTTTTATCTTTATTAGCAGAATGAGAACAGATTAATACTCTTGTATTAGTATAATATCACATAGAACTCTAATTTATCTTCCACACAAAAAGAGTAGTTAAAATATCTGTGAAAAATAATACACTGAAATGTAAAGGGAAAAATATTTTGAACATATTGATCTTATATCCAGCAATGCTGCTAAGCAATTTTTTAAAAATCATCTTTTCTACAAATAATGACAACTCTAATTTCTGATGCTGTGTGTTAATTTTCTTTTACAATTTACTAAGTAGAATTCACAATAAAATGTTAAACAGAAATAACACAGGTACATTTTTCCCATTTCTGAGTTCAAGGGAAATGCTGTTAAAATATTATCATTAAGTATGAGTTTCCCATATTATTTAGTTTTATGGGTGTGTTAGTCATGTTGGGATCCCATGACTGGGTGGCTTTAAACAGCATGTATTTGTCACAGTTTTGGAGAACGAAAACTCCAAGATCAAGGTGCTAGCAGATCAAGGTGCCACCAGTGTCTGGTGAGGACCCTCTTCCTGGTTGACAGATGGCTATGTTCTTGTTGTGTCTTCACATGGCAGTGTCTAAGTCATCTCTCTTGTGTCTCTTCTCATTAGGGCACTAATCCCATTTATGAGGACTCTACCCTCATGATCTAATTACCTGCCATGAACCTCAACTTTAAATATTTCTTATGTAAAATTGTTAGTGATTCTTTTGTATTTTTTTACTCCTTGCTAGAGTTATAATCATGTCCTCCTTTTAATTCCCAATGTTATTTATATTTGGCTTCTCTCTTTTGTTGTTAAATTTTTTTCCCAGATATTTGCTACTTTTATTAGTCATTTTGCTTTATTGCTCCTCCTTTATTTTTCCTTTCATTAACTTTTGCTCTTAAGAGTATGAGTTTTCCTCTGCTGTATTCTTTGGGTTTATTCTTCTGTTTTATTCTAACTTCTTATTTTGAGTTTCTACTTCATTAATTTTTTGCCTTTACTTTTTTCTAATGTAATTCTTCAAGTGTATTTTACTTCCCTCTAAGTACTGCTTTTACTCCACGTACAGGTTGATAAGCAGTAATTTCATTATCCAGAGCTAAGAATTTTATAATTGCAGAAATGTTATTTATTCAGAAATACATTTAATTTTTTCTCTTACTTATCTTTTATGGTTATTGATGCTTAGGAGGTAGTAGAAAAATGGGATGGAAATTACAGAGATAGATTAATATTGAAAGGAAAAAATTGAGACTAATACTCACTTAGCTGATACTTCAAGTCATGGTGCTTCAAGTCACCGATCACTGTGGCAAATGTGGAGTGAGAAGAGAGCCAAGAATGTCTCTTACAGAGTCTTAGGAAATTTTCTATTTGTCTCTTTCTATTTTTTTTCCAACTAACAGTAATTTCTCTTATTACCCCTCAAAAACATTAAGATAACCCTTTAGCTGAGCTAAGTGAGGGCTTGTCTTCCCCTTGCGGAAGCAACATCCAAATGCTGTAAAGGCTAACTTATCTGGAAATAGAAATAAAAACTCTTCATTATCTTTTCAGTTTTCCAATTTAAAATATCCCTGTTGCAAAACAATCAAGGAGACCAATTGCCCTGGAGAAGTAGTGGCTCAGCTTTTAGGTACTTTACTTTCTATAACAAGTATCCTTCCCAATCAGTGCAGGTTTCACTTCCAAATTACAGTAGTCTCCCCTTATCTGAGGTTTTGCTTTTCACGGTTTAAGTTATCTGTGGTCAGTTGCAGTCTGAAAATATTAAATGTAAAGTTCCACAAATAAATATTTAATAAGTTTTAAATTGCATGCAGTTTTGGGAAGCATGATAAATTCTTGTGCTGTCTGGCTTTGTTCAGCCTGGGACATGAATCATCCCTTTGTCCAGCTTATTCATAACTTATAGGCTAACCTGCTGTTATTATACAGGAAAAACCATAGTGTGTGTAGCGTTCAGTATTATCCTTGGTTTCAGACATCCACTGGGGGTCTTGAAATGTATCCTTCAAGATAAGGGGGAACTACTGTACATGATTCATAGAATGTTGGAAATGGAAAGTATCTTAGAAGGTATCCAGTCTAACTTCCTTATTTTATATTTAGGACAATGGCATACAGAGGAGTTGAATAACTCAATTTTTTATTGCTATTTCTTTAATATCCTTGTCAGATATATTTTCCTCATGTGTTACATCCCACTATGGACACTTTAGTTTTCTTTAATTTTTCATTTTATTACTTAACATGCAAATCTGACCGTCCCATTGTAATTCTAGACCCACTCTTGCTCATGTAAGAAACCCCTAAGGTATCTGCAAGGGCTTAAAAGATCTGGCTCCACATCATCTTTTAGCCTCATCTTGTTTCAAGCTTCTACTGGCTTGCTGCTCTGCCACAGTGACGTTTTCCTTCCTGACGCTTGCCTGCTTCAAGACATTTGACCTTACCCTCTTTACCTTTCTAGTTAATTCCTATTTATTTTTCAGATCTAGAAACTTTTGAATAAAATCTTCCTTAACCTCCCTGACTCTGTCAAGGGCTTTTTACAAATTTGCATAAAATAATAAACATAGAATCTCCATAAGATGTGTTTTGAGCGTTGATTTTGCACATTTAAAAAGATGTCAATTGATAAATACAGTGCCCCACCCACTAGGCTTGTAAGCTCCATCAACACAGGATAACATATCTTTATCACAAGCTGCATGTAACACAACATCTGACACAAGATATTTGTTCACTAAAGAGTACTGCTAGGCTACACTTGAAACTAAGTAGGCCAACTACAAGACCTGTATCTCTCAATAGAGACTCTTTGCAATATATGAATACTTCTAAAACAAAGCTGTTTTCATCACCATCAAAATTAGGCTGATACATATACATATCACAATGAACTTCAGCAATTTGATGTCAATATAAATGAATGATAATAAGACATTAGATTCTCATTAGCTTATTGAAAACTTCCTAATTTCTAAAAATGTACTATATTGGTTTATTTGACATGCTTTTCTTGTGTTGAAATCATTTCGAATGCTCATTAAAAACTAATTTCAAATTATAATTAATCTTATTTTCAGATTCAATGTTGTTATTTTAGAAATAATATAATTATTTATAGCATAATTGAAAAATTCTTAAAACAAAATCATGTTTTCTTTGGTAATCAAAATATAATTTTCTTCTTTTAATCTGGAAAGCATTGCTTACATTGATAATATTATCCCTCTCATTGTCAACATTACTGGAGTGCTTACAAACCCTGTGGGAAAATAGATCAAAGTGGAGAAATTTTAGATATAAATAATAAATTAACTTAAGTCCCTTAGGACTAGGATAAATATAATAATAAATACACTGGAATAATGGAAAATTGTCATTACCATCTAACAATGCTATAATTATCTAGGTACCAGAGTTTCTAGTTCTTTTTATTTTTTATATACAATAGATACATATAATAAATTCCATAACTTTCAGATAAAAAAAAAGGGCCATTTAACTTACCTCAGTTGTAAGGATTTATTACAGCGCTACAAAAGGAGGTAGGAAATAAAAGGTAAGAATATTAACAGTTGTAACATCCATCAAGATCATTAGTAGCTCTAATAGGCAAACTACAGGTCTGTGGAACGTAAGGAGCTTTGTATACTGCTAATTCAGTTTATAGTAACATCACCTTTCTTTCTGCTGCTAAATATCCAAGTGAAATCTGAACCTACTTTTTATATAAAAAGGCCTTGTCATTTTCCCTGTAAAGTTTTAAATAGCTTTATTTCTTCAGGGAGACATTCTGCCCCATTAAAAATGGCCACATAAGTAACATTATTTCTATTATGTATAAAAGTTTATTAAATTCACTGTCTCACATGCAACTTCAGTTTCAAAATTACTTGAGATGAACAAACTTAACTCTCATGGGAGAATGTTTCTCCTTGTTCTTGTGTTAGATTTTTATGCTTATGAGCATCTAAACATCCATTCTTGTCACAAAGGCAATCTTCGCGAAACATCTGCAGAAACATTTGGAATGCTATTGTTATGAGAGGAATTGTCCAAGTGTGCATGTTTTTATAACATACCATTATGGTTGGATTGATAGTCCTGAAAAAAAAGAATTCTGAATACAGTATAATGCACCATCTTAATCATCTACCACTGTGTATCAGACAAAATGACTTGTTTATCATAGAATTCTTCAAAACTGAAATGTAAGTTGCTTCTAGATTTGCAAGTGTTATGTCACCTGAAACATTATTCATTTGCAGTCAACTTATTTGCTGAGAAAAGCATTGTAAACTCTGGCAAGGACTCTAGCTATCTGTAAAACACTCTTACATTTGTACTTTTAAGGCAAGAATCATGTTGCCCATCATATTCATTTGCTATCCCTTCCTCTCTCCATTATATAGGGCTAAAACATAATGACAGATTTTCATTTTATGATTTATCTGCATATTGGGTTGCACCTCCTACTTCTGTGGACCATGGCTTTCAGATATGGAAGCAGAATAAAGTAGAACACCTCTTCTGGCTGTAATATACAATCACAAATCAATAATATTAATAGTGGGACCATGTAAACAATACATAAATATAACTGTTTTCATAATTAAAAAATACAGTCTGTATTTGTATAATCCTGTTAAATGTATTTATAGTTTTTAAAAAACTGATTAAAGTTAGTACTAAGTAGGAGCTGAAATCTGATAACATGAGGTAGAAGGACATACAAATAGCAAAAGAGCAAGACAATTACTTTTTTGGATTGACTTATGTCTGAGTGACATAAGTCAGTGTAATTCTTACATTCAAAACAGATTAACAGTCTCTCAGTTTTTCAAATAATTTTTTCTTACAATAGAAGCAAAAGTTACTGAGAAGTTATTAATGTGTTTTGGAAAATGGACATCATCTATGTATTTTACCAAAAAGCAGCTAAAGAGTTAAATTGAACAATTTAAACACTTTAAAAAGTTATACTAAAAAATTCAGTGTTATTTCAAAACATACAAATGTTTACATAAATGGTGTAATGTATTGTTATTCCATGAGATTCTTGAGATCCTAATTATGTGATAATAGCGACAAAATCACAAGTTTTCTTTGTTATACAGCCAATCTGTTTTACCTCTCTACTTATTTCTTATCTAACCAAAACTCTCTTGCTCATGCCTTCTTCAAAACCAGTGTTTTATTCAGCATCATGCACTTCTCTCAACCTCGTATGCTTCTTGAGGTATGTGTGTCTGGATCTCATTTTATATCCCTAACATTTTACCTAGGTGTTCCCTAATTCATTAAAAAGTTCATTAAAATATTCAGTAAATATCTACTCTGTATTTACTATGTGTCAATGTTTGACACAATTTGCAGCGACAGGTGAAAAGACATGAGAAAAGCAGTTGCTACCATTGTAATAAGGTAGAGAAAAGAAAACACACACTCACACACACACATTCACTCACACACACAGACACACCCACACACCCTAGAAAATCTATAAAACATGGTGGTAGAGAACACTTTTTCCTGATCAGAGAAATCTAAATATGTATGCATCACTTAGCACATTTTGCAAAGGGCTGTATTTGTGCATTGTTTTCCACATTTAAGTGAGTAAGTGTCATCACCTATGATGTCTTTTCTCATGGGTGTGGACGTCTAGTTGAGTGGGACAGTTTCCCTTTCCAATTGTATGTCTATCTGTGTTGGCCATTCTATATTAAAGCCATATCTGCTATGTGCTTCCTAAATCTGTAAAGCTCACTTGGTGAGGAAGATACATTTATTCAGGTCAGTAAAAACTAACATGGGCTGGGATTTAAGAATGAAAAAAAAAAATCTTCAGTGTTTGTGTGTTGAATTCTGCCTGAAGGTTTTCTTACTGAAATGAAATAAAGCTTTTAAATGTTTTTTTTAATTAAAAGACTACTGTTATTCTGAGTAAAATTAATATCTATTCTTTGTAATATTGCAGAAATGAGAATAGGCATTTCTGAGTGGGGATTTTTCAGCCTGGAGCCTGGATTCTCCAGGCTCTTTATAGATTGTTCGTGTTGTCAGCCAATGGTAAACCAGCATCTCAAGTAAGGGAGGAAAAGGTTAGCTAAAGCTGGAAAGGAGCCACAGCATGAAACTGAGGGCAAAATGTATTTTCTGTTTCCTACCCCAATCCCCAGTGAACTTGCCCACGCTATCACAGACTAAGCAGGATGGAGAAAGGCATACCTCCTACCCTGTCCCCACATCCAGACCTACTTTCTAACTCCCTAAAGCTTACCTGTTCCAGGAAGAGAAAACAGCGGGAAGGGTGGCTGTGAAGGAAAGGAGAGAGGACCAGAAAGACTGAGCAGGGTTTTACTGAGCTTTTTCTCAATGACATGAATTAAGTACTTCACTCATTTTACTTATTTTATTAGGAGAAATAAGGCAATGTTGGAGAAAGAGACTGTTTTTCTCACGGGGAGTGCAGAGGAAATTCTTTCCCTTTTCTGGACATAGAAGGGGTATTATAATAATATCCAGAACATGAATAAGGAGAGAAAACAGAGACTTCTTTCAGTGGAGCTGATACCATGTTTTATAGGAAAAGTCAGGGAAATATTTCAGGTGAAGAAGATACAGCATTGGGGCAGTCAGATCAGTGTGTTATTGTGGAAAATGGTGGCCATTTCTTTAGCAGCATCATGAAAAGACAAATCATGTTGACTAGGATTTTTTTTAGAGTTAGAGACAAAAAAAATTGTTTATGTGTGCTCATCACTGTCAGTGTGGAAGAGTAATTTGAGTTTTGTATACATTTACGTTTTAACAACATGCCTTACATAAAGAATCACAAAACCATTTTTGGCCATAATTTACTCTTCATTTGCTGCACTTTATTTTTCTGCTTCTCTTATCATAGCTTTGATCATGAATTGTAAAGGGCAAATTCAGCAAAGCCTTACTTTTATATAACTGCTGAGAAGAAAGGAGGAGGGTATATGTACATAGTAAGAGGAAAAGTTATTTAAAATTCAATTGTAATGATATCTGTGTCTATGCACATTCATTAACTGTTGTTGATAAGAGAATCTCCATCTCATCAAGCTACATTTCCATACATACTGCCCAGCATAGTTATATATCTGTGTTGTTTCTATGCACCTTGCATACATAATTACATTTACTCTACTTTGATTCAGAGTATATTTGAAAATTAGAATCCATTTTTAATTATTGTCAGAATTTTATGAGCTTCAAGTATTTAATATTCTATAAAGCTATAAATCCTACAGAACTGGTCAATAAAGTCCCTTGTCTTTAAGACTTAATTATTAATTCACAAGAAGGTATAAGCCTAGTATTTGCTACGCTATGCCTTTCCCTTAATACATTGCTATACTTGGAGGAATAATGCATGCAAAACACATCTTTGATAAAATGTTCCTTCTATACAGTGAAGATTTCAAACTTCCACTTTAGGAAATGTAGAAAAACTAACTTTTCAGAACAAAATACATAAAGGGCTCAATGCCTAAAATGATTGAAATTGTCATATATACAAAAATAAAACAGTCTTTCAGTAGTAATTGGATAATAAATATGTATTGATATTTATTCTAATTAGAGTTTATTCTAATAGACTTAAGAACTCTCTTTAATTATATTTTAACAAAAACATTACTTTTATCTGATTAAAATTATCTGCCTATAAAATTATAGAAACATAATGTTAAACTTTACTGACCTCCACATTTATGCCCTCAGGGAAAATAACTGTTAATTTGTTAATGGTTAGGTAATATGGTACTTTGTGTTGATTTGATTATGAAGTGATATGTATAAATACATCCCCTTATAATATGTGAATGCATCTTTTTGTTAAAGATGTAAATAAATACAAATGCATATAGAATAAACTAAAATGGAGTCAGTATTAGACCTTTTTCATATAAATGCTTACATATTTACATTGATGACAGCTCCTCAAAAGATATAACAGATGTTAGTTTATCCAACAGCTGCTAACTATGCTAAAGTCTGCACATTTTCAGAAAGAGTCAAGTTTAGATTACTGATGCTATTGTAATGATTTCAGAAAGGGAAGTTAGTCTAGAGAAATTTAGAGACATTTAATGAGTTTATTTGAACTGAATGCAGGTTAGAATGATAATGCTTACTTATAACGCATGAACATCCACCATAATTTTCTAATATACCATATACATTAGAACCAAGTATTACACAAGAGAACCATATTTTTCTGCGTTGTGGTCAAGTCTTGCCTCATCATCTTCTGATACAATGGCTGTATCAGTGGAATAAATCCTGTTCAGTTAATCTAAATTGGAATACAGATTAGAACATCTGGCATTTTAAGAAGTGAGTCTGAATGTGTCACCTGGTTCTTTCCATATTGATATTCCATGCATTAGGCATCTTATAAACTTTGGACTGCAGCTTCTTTACGTAACCCTTAATGACTGTGACCTGTTTGTCTGCTGAGTCTTTGAACTCATCCTGTTCCTAGTTCCTCTTTTGGAGTATTTCTGGGCCTGATTCTGGAATCTGAGCTCTAGCCAAGTGAACATGGATAAAACATTCTCTCCTGTTCCCCAAGGCTTTTTCCTCTCAACTGTAGCTATAACACAGACCCTTTCAAGAACTAGGGATATTCTGTAGACACTCTCTGGGTGAAACTAACATTTTTATATTTATTAATATATCAGGGTTTAATAATAAAAGAATTTGAATTAGTCATAGTGGGACAATCAGGACACTTTAAAGATCTTATCACGTTTAAGTTTTGTTACTGTTACAATTTTAAATTACATAAGGAGAGAGGTATGTGTGGCAGTGGAAGTGGGGGAAAACAGTATTTTCAGTGTTTTGGCCCCAGCCTTGTAAGTTCCTGACTATAGCTAATGCCTTTGTCCTTCTCTTCTTATAAAATCCCTTGAGAATAGCCCTGATCAGATTCAGGATTACTTATCCCTCTTGTATGTGAACACTGACTCTTTAGGTAGATAATCGTATAATCCTGATGAGCTTTTTAAATCCCCCTAGATTGTTTGTGCACTTTCTTTCTCTCTGGCCTAGACATTCCAAACAGCCTTGTAGCCATGGCTCTCCTGTCATTACATTATGACAGTTATTATAAAAGCTGAGAATATAAAAGTGGTTATTAATTATAAACCTGTAAATATATAGATGAATCCTCTGTAGGAGGCATCATGAGAAGAATATAGCAACATACCGTGTAAATCATTCTATTTCAGATTCTTAAGGCACATCACAAAAGTCCAAAGAATTGTCCCTTGGGGCGTGACTTCTGGAGTTAAGGAAACAACTCTGTAATTCTTGAAGAATCAAAGATCAAGTGCCATCATCTAATATTTATTAGGTGAGGGCAATGAAAAATGAAAATAATTTAATACATGGGTTACACAAACAAGTTGACCTGCAAACATTATAATGCATAGATACAACTTAGAAGAAAGCACAGATTTTTAAATCTCTTAAAATAAGATAAACAATATAGTTAACATACTAAAGTGCACTTAAAATGAAAATTTCCAAGTGACAACATTTTTCAGGTAGGAATTAGAAAACAAATTATGCACATTAAGTAATTTACTTCACATAGATGTGGAACTCACTTATATGGCATTTCAGTATCATGTGGGTTAAAATTTAATAGCATATTTCCCAAAATAAAGACTAGAAAACTGGAATCCATAAAATTTCCTGGTGATGCCCACATGCTGATGTAGTTTTCTCTTTAAATATATATATTTAAAAGCACAGAATTTTTTGTTTTAACACCACGTAGCAGTCTCTTGAAATACAGGCAGTTTGGCCAAAGATACTGCATTCATTTGAAGACCACTGTTCCTTTACCATTCAATTTCTCTTCTGCCTTCCCTATCATATCAAGTAATGAGTTTTAAAACTATCTTTTTATTCTTCTGACTTTTGGTCCAAAATCATTGATTTACTTGATGCTTATGAATAGTCTAGCATATAGAATTGTGCCTCAATGCTGAAGGAATTTTGGTATAGGAAACTCCACATTACATCAAGTAAGTATATCTTTGCTTTAAGAAGCCTTGATGTCCTGGGAAGGGAAAACTGAAATGAAAGATAAGACAATTAAGAATGGAGTCTAAGTGAATTCTTAGCACTTGCCATACTGCCAGACACTAAATGATTGTGTAATAAATATTATATTAAAATAATGAATACATTAATAAAGTTGAAAGATTCCTATATAGTTCCTCTTTTTATTTTTGATCACTTATGAATCTTTGTTTTTGAATCACTTTTTAAGTGAAAGAAAAAAAACCCTATAGTTACTTTATCCGAGTTAATATGGGGGGGTAGGGCTGACTTAAGGCTGTTGGATTTAGAAATAAATAGAGCTCTCAGTTTTTGACATCTCTTCATACTTGTAGCTTTGCTTTTCGCTGTGTTTGACTTCAGTCTCTGCTTTTGAATGGTAACAAGATGGCAGCATCAGTTGCAACATTCTACATCCTCTCAGATTTCAGTACCACTTTTTTCTTTACCAAAATCTTCCTCAGAATAATACTCATGATGTACTTTTGGTTCTGGTAGGGAAGATACAGCTCTCCCCCTCTTCTCTGTAGGGGATACATTCCAAGACCCCCAGTAGATGCCTGAAAGCATAGATAGTACTGAACCCTATGTATACTATTTTTTTTTTCTTTACATGAATACCTACGACAAAGATTAATTTAGGCCAGGTGCCATGGCTTATGCCTGTAATCCCAGCACTTTGGGAGGCTGAAGCAGGCAGATCACGAGGTCAGGAGTTCAAGACCAGCCTGATCAACATGGTGAAACCCCATCTCTACTAAAAATACAAAAATTAGCCAGGAGTGGTGGCACGCACCTGTAATCCCAGCAATTCAGTAGGCTGAGGCAGGAGAATCGCTTGAACCCGGGAGGCAGAGGTTGCAGTGAGCCATGATCACACCACTGTACTCCAGCCTGGGCTACAGAGAGAGACTGTCTCAAAAAAAACAAAAAAAGATTAATTTATAAGTTTGCCACAGTAAGAGATTAACAACCGTATCTAATAATAAAATAGGATAATTATAACATATATTGTATTAAAAGTTATGTGAATGTGGTCTAATTCTCTCAAAATTTCTTATTGTACTACATTGTGAGTAACTGAAACAGTAGAAAGTGAAACTACAGATAAGGAAGAATTACTGTCTACACCAACAAATCAATCACTGTCCTGAATTAAATATGTGATTTCCATCAAATGCATTTAGTAGAATGTAAAGAAGAATTTTTTTCCCCAGAGGGAAATTTGGATATAATTCCATGAAGAATGAATAGAGGCTAGTTGACAAAAACATTTGCTGTAGCCTTTGAGAAGAATATGTATGACTATTTTGATTTATGGGCTTTTTTGTTAAGTAATTAAGTCTTAATAGTGTCAGGAAATTGTGTTTTCATATGAAAAGAAGAATTGCATATTAAATGTCTTTAATTTGGTATGTGGTGAAGTTATACATGCTATCTTCTATCATACTTTGATAATATATTATAGATAATTACAGCTTATAAATCTAATTTAATGAAGATTGTGTGGTGTATACATCTGTTTAATTGTTAGTTTGGACTTCTTTTTGTGATTTTGATTTTAGGTTATCTTTCCATTGCCTGCACAGGAATTTCTATATCAATTCACAGTGGGCACCACAATATGAAATTGTGGGAACTTCGTTAAAATAGAGCCAGTGTTTCTAAATTTCTTTAAGTATCTCTGCCTGGCTTTAATATTGCATGATTAATATAAAAAATCATTTAGCTTTTGTGAGTTAGTCAGGATCTATTGGCCTAGTTTCAAAAGTTGGTCTCCTGAGCATAATGGACATAACTGAAACTCCTGTTAAGTTTTTCCATTTTAATGAAAATATTAAATGACTTGTGGAGTAGCATGGCAAATTTGCTGCCCAGATCTCAGAGGGGCAGGCTATGATTTCATTCAGCTGCCTTCTGCTGTTTTATTCTCAACATTTAGAAACTTTATTAAAATGATTTCAGTCCTTTGACTTTGTTTTCAGATCATTGCTTTCTAAGGTGACTTAGGTTTTTATTTTATTTTCATAATTTTCTCTTTATAATTGAAAGCTACAAAAGGGCACCATAGAGAATGGAAAATAAAAATGCACTGATTAATTCTGTGGTTTTGCTTTTCTGAACTGTGGATTGAGTAAAGCAGTGTAATAGGGTGATATGCTTGGAACTACAAAAAGCTTTGGTTTTAGAAAAAAGTTCTAATTATTAGTTTCAGAATATAACTAACTACAATTAACATTAAAAGTAGCTTTAATGGTTTTCTGATAGAGAAAAAAATTGAATACAATTGAAAATGCACTTTAACATTTAGCATGTGCATTTAGAATAAAATGATAGTTTTTTGGTTGTTTGTTTTGTTTTGTTTTTTGTTTTTGAGACAGGGTCTCACTCTGTCATCCAGGCTGGAGTGCAGTTGTGCCATGTCGGCTCACTGCCTCCAGGTTCAAGCTATTCTCCCACCTTAGCCTCCCGAATAGCTGGGGCTCCAGACATGCACTACCACCCCTGGCTAATTTTTGTATTTTTTGGTGGAAACAGGGTTTCACCATGTTGGCCAGTCTGGTCTCTTGACCTCAAGTGATCCGCCTGCCTCGGTCTTCCGAAGTGCTGGGATTATAGGCATGAACCACCGCACTTGGCCTAGAATAAAAATGATAGTTATTTAGTGCATTTCTTTTACTTGGAAAATATAAAGACTT
This sequence comes from Homo sapiens, assembly GCF_000001405.40. Taxonomy (NCBI): domain Eukaryota; kingdom Metazoa; phylum Chordata; class Mammalia; order Primates; family Hominidae; genus Homo; species Homo sapiens. The sequence continues at coordinate 91,341,895 of NC_000004.12, forward strand.
TTACCAGGACTTTTGGCATTATGTATTTTACAAAATTATTGTTAATATTTTCATGCATCTACATTAATTGCTGTTATATATAAAGTAGGAAAGGGCACAGAGTAAGAGGAAAGGATGCAATTAAATCTAATCAGAGGGTAAAAGTTTAAATTCTGTATTTCTGTCACCTGTTTTGCTGCATAAAAGTGAATAGGCTAAAAATCTAAAAAAATAGGAAACTTCACTACACTAAGCATTTGAAATATATTGACATTTGTAATTTTTACTACAGTCTATAAGATTGTTAAAATTATCATACCCATTTCTAGATGAAGAAGGCCAAAACCCAGAGAGGTTTACTAAGTTCACAGTGTCCCACAGTTAAATGAGTAATAGAGCTAGAATTCAAACCCAGATAGCCTGATCTAAAGCTAGACATATTAGCCATTACTTTATATCTTTAATATGGACATAGTAACCATTACTTTATAACCTTAGACTTTTTACTTAGTCTTTGGATACTTTGGTTTGTATGTAAAGACTAAGTGCTAATACCTTGGAAAGTCACAAAAATATAAGGATTGGCCTACTCTTTTTACCAAAGTGTTAAACATGTTGAAATTTCTCAGCATATTCCATGTGTATAATAAATTAGGTACTAATTTTTGTTTCTTTTATTTCTGGCATATCATGTTCTGTGTATTTTTTCCCATAAAAACAAAGTAAAACAAAAGATAGGGTTTTCAGTGTCTCATTTTGTGTTAGTAACTCAGTTCTATCATTGCCAACATCTAACAAGAAATTCCTGACTCCAGGAACAGTTTTACACATACAACAATAAAAGTGATTCCATATGTCCTTCTAAAATGTTTCAATTACATATAGGTTGTATGCCTATTGTCAGGCATAGGAATGTATACATTCCCTGGTCACTTTCCCCACTGATAAATGCAGCTTTCTTTTCATTTGTTTTATTTGGTTTCTTTACAGAATTATGTGATTCATCATTTTCCTTGAGAACATTCATGTTAAGTCATTCAAGCTTTGTGATTAATTCACTCCTTTAAGCAAAAAATTTAAAGTTTATTATATTTTTATATGTAAGCAAATAAATGACATTCCCGTACTAGGAATATAAAAAATTCAGTGAAGATACTGATTTTTGAAGTGGTTGAAATCTGTGTTATATAATACATTATAAATACATGTTACAAATTTATAATAAAATATTTACTGTTGCCTACATGGTAGTAACAAGGATCCCAAATAATAAAGATTAACAGTTTTTCCTTTTTGCCCAATTTCTTCTGAAATTTTTCTTATCCTCTATTTTAGAATCTGGAAGAACACTTGGTACATAGTATGTGATTAATAAAAAATTTTAAAAATACTTAAATTTTATTTAATTGTATGATGCAAAAATCTTTCCTCATTAACCTGAAATGAAATTCCACATTATATGCTTGACAGCTTTTTCTGCTTTAGCTACATGTTTTCCCTTTGCTCAGAATTTTAACACAAATTGATTTGTACATCAGAAAATCCTTTGAGCAAAACAGTGAAAATAAACACACTAGACAATGACTTACCATTTAAAAAAATACATTTTCTAGAGATAAAAGTAAATCTTTCTTGCACTAATCTCTATGCTATTATTTCCAAAGTGTGAATTCACTAAGTTGGATTATACCAGAAATGATTGTGGGTGCTCTGAATTTAAGGAACGTTTATTTACAGAAGGAGAATTAAATTTCCTTTAACAGTACCTACTGTTTCTTGAGATAGAATTTTTAATCAAATTTTAGCGTGGAGATGATAGATCTTTAACACCTTAATATATTCAACCTCTTACTTTAAGAAAGAGAGAGGAGGTACTAGACTAAGCCCCTCATCAGACAATACGATCTATGTAAAATTTAACAATATTGGTCTGTTTTCATGGTATTTATTTGTGATGACTATAGTCTATAGCAAGTGGTACTGGTTTTCCACATGATACTGAAATGAGATTTTCTCTACACATATATGTAAGTTAAAATTTGAGTTTAAGAAATGTAAAAATAAATAATAGGTAGTACACTGATATGGCCTTTGAAGGTGATATGTGGAAGACTGAAATTTAGGTAACTGCCATTTATCATTGGAATTAGCAGCTACTATGGTTGGATGTTTGTGATCCCTCAATATTCATATGTTGAAACCTAATCCCTAATGTGATAGTATTAAGAAGTGGGGCCTTTAGAAGGTGATTAAGTCTTAAGGGCTTCGCCAGCTGAATGTGATTAGTGTCCTTATAAAAGGGATCTGAGAGAGTTTGTTTGCCCCTTCCTCCATGTGAGAACACATAGAATGCACCATCTCTGAAGAATAAGGCCCCCACTTGACACCAGTTCTTGCCAGTGCCTTGATTTAAGTTTCCCAAACTCCAGAACTGTGAGAAATTTTTATAAGTTACACAGTCTAAGTTATTTTGTTACATCAGCCCCAATGGACTAAGACTTCGGCATAATAATTATAACAAAGAAATATCTACATTCTACATTTTAAAGCATAATAATGATTTCTTCCAATTTCTGATATGGAAAGAAAAAGTAAGTGTAATGTAATGTGTAGTAATAGACATGGTTTATAAGTGTTTTAAAATAATAGAAAATATAGAATAATGCAGAGCTTCCTGTGGAAAAGTAACAAAATATTTAGGTACAGATAATTGTAGAGTTGTTTAATAAGTTTTTTGGTAGCTTTTTAACCTCAAACTTTGGAGTCTACAAAGGAAAAAAAAAAAGGAATAAAAGAGATTCTATTTGAAGAAATAGTGAATGGCATTAAAAGTTTCTTGAATGATGGGAAAGTTGCTATCTGGGAAAAACTACTTTAAAGTAAATGTAATCACAGAGATACTAGGGAAAAGCTAGATATTTATAAGCCTCTACATGAAATTCATACTGGGGGATAATATTACAGTACTCAAAATAAATGAATTATAAAGGTAAATATGTAAATATTTGAAATGATTATTCAAAGAGGTCGAGTATATCATTAGACAGACTTCATAAATGTTTATGAGCAATAAGTATGTGCCAACTTAAGTAGAAAATATTAATTAACAATATAATCTCTCTGAGCATTGAAAAGAAATTAACAGAAGCTGTTAAAATATTGTAAGTGCTATGTTCCTTGAAGAAGGAAGCACTTTCCTAACTGTTCCCTGGAGTTGTTGAAAATCTTTATTAGTGGCCTGGCACGGTGGCTCACACCTCTAATCCCATCACTTTGGGAGGCCAAGGTGTGCAGATCACTTGAGGATCAGGAGTTCAAGACTGGCCTGGCCAATATGACGAAACCCTGTCTCTACTAAAAATGCAAAATTAGCCAGGAGTGAGGGCGGGTGCTTCTCCAGCTGCTCAGGAGGCTGAGGCAGGAGAATCGCTTGAACCTGGGAGGCAGAGGTTGCAGTGAGTCAAGATCCTGCCACTGCACTCCAGCCTGGGAGACAGAGTGAAACTCCATCTCAAAAATGAAGAAGAAGAAGAAAAAAAGAAACTCTATGAGCAATATGATCAATTTAAAGTAAAAATTATTTTCAATGAATAAGTATTTATTTAGGTAAACCTTTGCAACAAATTGGACTTTTCTTTTTTAATTAATAGATTTTATTTTTTGTGTAGTTATAATTTATTTCTAAAATGAGCAGAAAGTGCAGGTCCCCTGTATCTCCTTACCATGCCCCACTGTTTCCCTGATTATTGA